>NC_000012.12:129207124-129508748 GCF_000001405.40 Homo sapiens
AAAAGAAAAAAACAAACAAAAAACCCCCCACTACTGTTGTGATAAGAATAGAGCAGCAAACAAAGTGGACCCAAACAGCACCGCCCTCACGGAGCTTAAGTTCCAAGGAGGACAGTCAGAAGATGAATACAGCACCGCCCTCATGGAGTTTAGATTCCAATGAGGACAGTCAGACGATGAATACAGCACCGCCCTCACAGAGCTTAGGTTCCAACGAGGACAGTCAGAAGATGAATACAACAAACAAAAATATATAGTGTATCTGTGAATACATAAACGTATGCTATGTATGACATATACGCATATATGAATAGAAGTTCAGCAGGGATGGGGAAGGCAGTGCTGTGGGTGTCTGTGAAGATTTTGCTGACGCTGCTCAGAAAAGGCCTTGGGGAGAAGATGAGGCGAGGGAGCCGTACAGGCATCCAGGGAAAGAGAGTTAAAGGCAGAGGGAGGAGAGGGGATGCCTGTCCTGTTACAGGAGTGGCCGAGTCTCCAGTGTGGCCAGAGTGGAGGCAGCCAGAGGGGCTGTGCCTAGCGTGAGGCCAGCGTTACAGCAGGTATGGCTGCAAAGGTTTGATTCTGTCTCTGTAAATACTTTGGCTTTTACTGTGAGGAGGGGAAGCCAGTGAATTTTTTTTATATAAAAAAAGTATTGATCCATAATTAATGTACATATTTTGGGGTCCACGTGGCCATTTAATACATTCATAAAATTTGTGGAGATCAAATCAGTGTAACTGAGATAGCCTCCACCTAAGATATTTGTTGTTTCTTTATGCTAGGAATGTTAGTATTATTCTCTAGCTATTTTGAAATATGTAATAGATTATTGTAAACTGTCATCACCCAACTGATCTATCTAACATGAGGTCTTATTTCTTCTTTCAAACTGCACATCTGTGTCCACTCATCAGCCTGAGGGGCCGAGCAGAGGAGTGACATGGTCATATCGCCCGTGACCGCCCTGGCTGTAGCACTAAAGAGGGGTTATGGGAGAGGAGGTAAGGACAGGCCCTAGGTCACCAGCAAGGTGGTCAATGCTTTGAGGTGATTGTGTCTGGGATTGGGGTGGTGGCAGGACCCGAGGAGGGCTGGATCCTGGCTATCCTTGGAAGGCACTGCCAACAGGATTTGATGAAGGCTTGGGTGTGCAGAGAGGGGAGAAATGTAAGATGAGCCTAGATATTGGCTGGAGTCAGTGAAGGAAGTTGTCCTGTGCTGATGTGAAGAAGATTCTGGAATGAGTAGGTAGGAGTGCTGTATGATGTCATGTGTTCCGCTGCCCTGTTGCTTTCTGACATCTCTGCCTTCTCTCTGAAACCCATAAGGATGGACGTCCATCTCATTTATGTGGTCCTAGAGTCTTGAACAGTACCTAGCACTTAGTGGGGATTTGATTCGCATTTGTTGACTGCGTTTTAAGTGAGCAAAAATGCTCCCTGAAGGTTTGCTTCAGAGCAGAGTGGTTACACCAATTCCTGTCCGGGAATTGTCCTGTGCTCCAGCCATGGCTAGGACTCATATGGAGGGAGTCTCCCGGAGCCTCGTGAAGCCCTTCTCGCTGTCCCGGGCTTTTGTTGGCAGCCTCCTCCTTTGAGGAGGTGCCTGCTGCATCTGTCACTGCAGCCCTGTCTCTGGAGTGGGCGGAGGCAGCCTGGGGAACCCATTTATCTCCTGCAGGCTGGAAGTGTGCTATGAGGTTCCTGGCAGAGCAAGACTCCATCTCCCCAGCCTCCTCCATCCGTCTCCCAGGGTGCCTTTGTTTTGAATCATTTTTGATTTCAATTTAAGAAGAGAAAGAAGAGGCTGAGACGAAGGAAGGAGGGGTGAGCGCTGTTCATCCACATCCCTAGCTCATGTGGAATTTTGTGGGCTGGGCAGAGGAATGGAGAATGATTTCCTCTTCCTCCCTTGGCCAGTACTGTAAATCAAAGCTGGGAGTAGTTGTACACCTTATACCACCATTGATTTTACACGAATGCTGTGTGCTATAGAATCATCCCGGAGTGTGGCCGCATACCCATCCATCTAGGTTCTAGGGCTCCTTCCCTTCTTCTCCCCTGCCTGGGGTGGGTGGAGGGTAAGCGGGTCCCTGCCTCCCACGACAATCTCCCTGGGGATCTGGGAAGAGGCCAAGGGCATTCGGCGAACACAGAGTGTCAAGGGACAGCCTCCCAGACTCGGAGTCACCAGCCAGAGCACTTTTTCATTCTGTCCAATATTTGTGCCACGGAGAATGTCCTGATTTAAGTGGCAGGATAACCAGAATGGGATGGGAGGGATCCTGTGGGACCCAGAGGTCCCAGAGGTCCCAGAGGTCCCAAGCTGGTCCAGGAGCACAGAAGCTGACATGACAGCAGGTTTCTGCAGGGGCGGGGAGGTGTCAACTTGCCTTAATCACGTCTTCATCAGACGATCTACACTCCACAGACTCCAGCAGCTCTGTCACTGTGCCGTCGTCCTCCACGGAGACCACTTTCACCGGGACGGCCACCGTCTTCCCCGTGAGGATGGCTGTGTTCAGGATTTCTGCCTCCTGGAAGACCAAACACACCCTTCCATCACATCCCCTCCTGAGACGGCCCAGTCCCTGGGAGTATGCCGCCTGCCTTTCCTCAGCCTCCCTGCAAACAGCACTGGCCTCTTCTGCAGGCTCAGAAATCCTGGCAGTCCGCACCAGCTGGCTGACCGTGGCAGCCATGAGATAATGTTCTGTCCTCACCCAGATTTCCACAGGGCAACTATGATGGGGAAGGGGTGGAGGACAGAAAAGGTGGCGGAGGAAATTTATTACTAATATTGTGTTTGGCAAACACTTATGTGTCAGGCACCCTTGTAAGTGCTTTACAAATATCGGCTCGTCAATCCTCATAGCATCCTGATAAGACAAACATTCTTCTTCTTCCCAGTTTACAGATGGCACAGAGAGCTTTTGTCACTTGCCCAGGGTCACCCAGCTAGAAATTAATGAAGGCAGGATTTGAACCTGGGAAGTCCAGCTCCCGAGTCCATGCATCAGCTAACTCAAATAGGTCTAAACGTGGACATGACGACGGTAGCTTAAGCCGCCGAAGGATGGCCAGAGGGGCCTGGTGTTGTGAAAGAAGCTTGATGAGCAGCACCGCACCACCAGTGCGAGGTATGTGAGGGAGACAAAGGCAGGGAGAGAGCCCTCGCTCTCTGTGCTCTCTTGCTCTGGCTTGCTTTCACTCTGTTTCAATTTTCTAGGCTTTTATTGGGTCCTGGCCTCCAGACGTGTCTGGAATGTTGCTGTGGCTCCAACAGCACTCCCACATCCCCACTGATGCGACCCACGATGCACCACACACATCCACACTCACCCAAACATGCGTTTTGCTGTAAACCCTTCTTTCATCGAGCAGCTCAAGACAGGTGTCTTTAGGGATGTCCCGGCTTGCCCCAAGTATTTGCTTTCAGAATTAAGAATGTCCTGAACCTTTCCCCTTGGTAGCACCTAACAGTTGCTGTTTTACTTTTACTTATAGTTATTTAATCCCTTTATCTCTCTTCCAGACTCTAAGCTCCATGGGGCTGTATCTGCTTTCTGCTCACCAGCACCCAGCGCAGAGCTTAGCTACAACGAATGGTGTTAATGTTTGTCAAGTGCATAAATAGGACTCAACAGGGAAAGGACTGGGATTTACATCCTCACCTTCTTGCTCCCCAGCTCCTCACACTGTATGCATGAATCTCCTTTTTTCAGGCACACCTATGCCTCGGTGGTGTTTCCCAGACATCGAGCATCTCTGGATCTCATGACACCCTGCATCTCTCTCTCCAGCACACCCATGCTCATCCTCAGTGACTCCTCTAGAATTCTTGTGATTTTTTAACTGGTGGGGGACAGAGAGATCATAGGAGCCCATTTTTCAGATAGAGAAAACTGAGCCTCAAGACCCGGTAAGTGAATCTCATTCTTCTCTGCAGAGATTGCATTTTCTATCACAAAAACGTAGAAGTCCCAATATAACCCCACATCTCTGTATAATACAACTTCCAAGTCCTAGCTCACAATGTTCTTTGCTCAGTTTCAGCTCATTACATTCCAGTGGTGTCCCTAAGAGGTGTTTTATCAACATGCCACATTGCGTTTCTTCTGTTAACTATGAACGTATCTGTCTTTTCCTTGACACAATAACATCAAAAGATCTGGGTGGGTGCTAGTTGCTGGTTAGGGTGGATCTAAAACAATTGTCATTTTACTTTCACTCATGGTTATTCAATCGCTTTATTTTCCTTCTAAGACTGCGAGCTCAGTAGGGCTGTATCTATGTCATTTTGAGAGATGAGCTTGCAAAGATTCTTGTTACTTTGATTCTCATGTGAAATGTAAAATGCCTGTTAGTAGAATGCCAGCAGAAGGAATAGAAGTTTATCATCCTAAAATTACATAACTATTTTCATTATGTTAACTATTTCTTAGATAAGATCTTATTTGTCATTTATGGGATGAGATTTGTCTATAACCAGCTCACTGGGGTTAGGCTTTGGATGTAGCAATACATATATTATTCATTATTTTAATTCTAAAAGACAAGACTCCAATTTGGAATGCTCCTGAAGTTCAGAGACCATGTTTCAAACTGTTGGAATATGCATAGGCCTTCAAAGTCCCATTATCCATACACTTTTTCTCCTCTGTGGGTTCCCAGCCTGATTTTACTTTAATTCGAATAAAAACATGGCACAAACATGAAGGGGCAAAATCAGTATATGATGCTATTTCCTGCTGCCTCTAGGCAGGAAAAATTAGCTTTAATGGCAAAAATCACCATTACTTTTGCACCAACCTAACTTTTTTTTCTACTCTAAAGGGGGAGGATCAAAAGGAACAAGTGGTATTCTGGAAAAAAGTGGAACAATGCTGTTTAACTTGCTGGCCGAAACTGGCTCATCACAAAGGAGAGAGACAGACGAGGGAGCAGTGTGGCCACTTCTGACATCAGTCTCAGGGAAAACAGTTTCTCACATTCGTGGTAAAAACTGAAGAGCATCTCCACTCTAACGATAAAAATCAAAAGGCCTTTCATGTTTTTGCACATTCAGGTTAATATAATGAGAAATGACGCTGGGAATGACTGATGAGCAGCTGTAAGCCCATATGTCTGGGGTGTTGCCTTTTTCTCTGAATAGCATACGTGTTTCTGCCTACCAAGATCTCAGCGTGGCTGAGTGACTGAGCCTTCAGGCTTGGTATTTCCCTGCCTCCTCTGTGTATTTCCAATTCTTTGACGTCACGAATTTTCTGTTTTGGACAGCTTTGCCTTTTCCAGGAGGTGAATGGTACGGGGATGACTCACAGAAGTCTTCAGATAAGAGGAGGACAAAAGAGACCCTTGTTCAGTGGCAGAAGTACCTGTAAAGCCTTAGCTTTGCCTGAGATATGACCTATAACTGCTCTGATTTTTGGACCCCAGAAAACCCTTGAAAGCTCAGCTTCCTTATTGCTGCGTGGTCACCTTATCACAGCACTGCAGAGCCTAGGAAATAAAGGCACAGACTCTCTTTAGAAAACATATCTCCTTCCCGTCAGTCAATCATAATCCTTATTGTCACTTCATACACCCTTTCTGCTACTTGGGCATTATCTGTGTGCCAGTAAGGATCTCTGACAAAGCACTACAGAACTTTAGGCACTCCAGAGTCAAGGAGGAGGTAGAATAGCAGAGAATAGGCTGGATGTGGCACTGAGAAGGTATCACCATTAAAGTGAGGCTTCAGATATTTTTCCTGGGGGCTCACTGTCATCCATTATAGGGAAACAATAACAGCCCCTGTCTTGCTAGAGAAATAATGACCCATGTCTTAGTTTGAGCCAGCCTGGAAGTAGATCCTGGGACAAAGATTCAAGAGCAATTTATCTGGGACATTCAGGAAACTTCAATAGGAGAGTGTGCAAGTGACACGGGGAAAAGGAGGCTACTAACAAGTTGTGTAGATTAAACCAGTTATCACAGTGGGCACCTGGGGCTGATCCTGCAGGGGATGATGTATTTCACGACATATATTGTATATTCTGTGTGTGTGTCTTAGTTCATTTGTATTGCTATAAAGAAATACCAGGCTAGGTGCAGTGGCTCACACCTGCAATCCCAGCCCTTTGGGAGGCTGAGGCAGGTGGATCACTTGAACCCAGGAGTTCGAGACCAGCCTGGGCAATACAGTGAGACCCTGTCTCTACAAACAAATAGAAAAAAGTTTATCCAGGTGTGATGGTACATGCCTGTAGTCCCAACTACTTGAATGGCTAGGTGAAAGGACCACCTGAGCCCAGCGAGGTCAAGGCTGCAGTGAGTCGTGATTGTGCGACTGCACCACAGCCTGGGCAACAGAGCGAGGCCTTCTCTCAAAACAAACAAAACAAAACAAAACAAAACAAAAAAACCTAGAGAGGCTGGGTAATTTATAAGAATAAAAGGTTTGCTTGGTTCCTGATTCTGCTGGCTGAAAGATTGGGCATCTGGAGAAAGCCTTGTGGAGGAGGGCGAAGGGAGCAGGCATGTGCAGAGATCACCTAGTAGTAGAGGAAGCAAGGGAGAAGAACAGGGGAAGTGCCAGGCTTTTAACAATGCTGAGAACTCCATCACTGCCCCACGCCCACTGCCAACCAGAGAGGGACTTTACCTACTCATGAGGGATTCACTCCCATGACCCAAATACCTCCCATGGCCCTACCTCCAACCCGGGGGATCACATTTCAACATGAGGTTTGGGGGAACAGACATTCCAACCGTAGCAGTGTGTAAATGTGTATGTATCTCAATAGATTGAAATCTATTATGATGTATTTCCCTGCAGGGGATTTCTCTAGAATATACACCTAAGAATAGTTTCGTTGAGGGCTGAGGGAGCTGGGGTATTTATACACCAAACCTAAGTGCTGCTCCTAAACAGACCACTGCTTAGCACTTCCAGCCCACTGCATGTGCAGACAAAACAGACTTCTACTATTTCAAAGGAAGCTCCCGATGGATGGTGACACTTGGACCTGGTCTGGAGAACACTGCTGTGCTAGGGTACAAGGGAAATGTGTAGGGCCCTAACTGAGTCTGCTACAACATCACTGAAGTAATCTGTCATGCAGTGGTCTGATGGATTGGAACCAGAATTAGAGTGCTTTTTATTTTGATTTTTGTTTTTTTAAATTTCCTCATGTTTCTGGTATCCTGATGTTATGCTTCAAGTATCAGCATAGTCATTTATTCATGTTGACCTTTGAAAATTAATTGTAAAAGAGACAAGGAAAATAATGGATAGAGAAAAACACTGCACAAGGGAAGCTTTTAAACATCTTAAGAGATTGATCTCTGTGTTAGACAGTTTGTTGCCCATTCAATGTCTGTTCTGCCTTTCTTTCTGACAAAACCCCAATTTCATTTGTGGCTGTAACATGCCTGAATAAAATGACTATAGTTTTTGGCTGCCCTTAATCTCTGACACATTTCTGGCCCAGAAGATATCAATAAAAGTCATTTAGTGAGACTTCCAGAAAATTTTGTGAAAAAACAAACAAAAACTCAAAAGAAGACAGACACACAGACAATACTCACATAAAAAAGCTCAACATCATTGATCACTAGAGAAATGCAAATCAAAACCACAATGAGATATCATCTCACACCAGTCAGAATAGCTATTATTAAAAAGATTTTTAAAAACCCACAGATACTGGTGACATTGTGGGGTAAAGGGAATACTTATATACTGTGGGTAGGAGTGTAAATTAGTTCAACCTTTGTGGAAGACGGTGTGGTGATTCCTTAAAGAGATAAAAACAGAAATACATTTGACCCAGCAATCCCATTACCAAGTATAGACCCAAAGGAATATAAATCATTCTACCATGAAGACACAGGCATGTGCATGTATACTGCAGCAGTATTCACAATAGCAAAGACATGAAATCTACCTAGATGTCCATCAATGGTAGACTGGATAGAGAAAATGTGATACATATACACCATGGAATACTATGCAGCCATAAAAAAGAATGAGATCATGTCCTTTGCAGGGACATGGTTGGAGCTGGAGGCCATTATCCTTGGCAAACTAACACAGAAACAGAAAACAACATACCACCTGTTCTCGCTTATACCACATGTTCTCGCTTATAAGTGGGGGCTAAATGATGAGAACACATGAACACATAGAGGGTAACAACACACACTGGGGCCTATGTGAGGGTGGAGGTTGGGAGGAGGGAGAAGATCAGGAAAAACAACCAATGGGTAGTAGGCTTAATACCTGGGTGGGGAAATAATTGGTACAACAAACCTCCATGACACATTTCCCTTTGTAACAAACCTGCACATGTACTCCTTAATTTAAAATAAGAGTTACATAAAAATTAAATTAAGGTGAAAAAAATAAGAAGAACTAAGCAGATTCTGAAAGATGTCTTTCCTTTCTTCCTGCCCACTAGGCACAGATAATGTTGGAGTTAAACCGCATCTTGTGACTCAAAGGTGGTGGTATGTGGTTAAAAGACACGTGGTTTCAGTGTAGTGAACTATTAATAGTTAAGTGCAGGGACTCTCTCTTGGATTGTGCATTAGTCTGTTTTCACACTGCTGATATACCCAAGACTGGGTAATTTATACAGAAAAAGAGGTTTAATGGACTCAGTTCCAGGTGGCTGGGGAGGCCTCACAGTCATGGCGGAAGGTGAGGGAAGAACAAAGGCATGTCTTACATGGCGTGGGGCAAAGAGAGAAGGAGAGCCAAGTGAAAGGGGAAACCCCAAATAAAATCATCAGATCTCCTGAGACTTACTCACTACCATGAGAACAGTGTGGGGGAAACCGCCCGAATGCATGATTCAATTATCTCCCACCAGGTCCCTCCCACAACATGTGGGAATTATAGGAGCTACAATTCAAGATGAGATTTGGGTGGGGACACAGCCAAACCATATCAGACTGCCTGCGTTTGAATCCTGGTTGTGACACTACCAGCTGGGTGGCTCCAAGCAAGTTACTTAACTCTTCGTGCCTAATTCTCTTCAGCTATAACATGAGCATAATGATGGTATGTACCTCTTGGGTTTGCCCTAGATTTGGTGCGTTAGTATTTGTAGAGTGTTTAGAACAGCACCTGGTAACTAATAAATGCCCTCCCAAATGTCTGATAAATAAGCACAGATGAATGATGACCATGGTGTGTTGAGTACTAAGTTCATGTCCACCTGAATGTGAGCTTATTTGGAATCAGTATCTCTGTAGATGTGATTAGTTGAGACATGGTCTTAATGGATTAAGGTGGGATTGTGGGTGTCCTTACAAGAAGAGAAAACACAGACAGACACACAGGGAGGATGGCACAGGAAGATGGAGCCAGAGATTGGGGTGATCCATCCGTAAGCTGAGGAATATCAAGAATTGGCACAACCCACAGAAGCTGGAAGAGGTAGGAAGGATGCTTCCCTAGAGCCTCCAGAGGGAGCATGGCCCTGGTCACACCATAATGTTAGACTTGCAGCCTCCAGAACAGTGATGGAGTGAGTGTCTCTTGTATTTAGCCATCACGTTGTGTTACTTCATCACTTCAGTACAGCAGCACTAGGAAGCGAATACAGTGACTAGTCAAAAAGGAAGCGCCTGGATGCCAGAAGCATGGCCACACTCACCCTGGGCATCCACCTCCAAGCATGTTTGCAGAGAGAATTAAGAGCTTGCTCATTCTAACCATTGATTTCCAAGTTCTGTTACTCACAGATAATCACCATCTTAACTGATGCAACCTGAAAGGGGACCGCCTCATGATTTCTTATCGGTCTTAAGCCAAAACGAGTAAGTTAAATTGACTTATTTAAATTGACTTATTTTTTTGTAACGGGAAAAAACATTTTTTGTTGTTGTTGTTGTTGTTCTTTTTTGTCCCTAAAGTTATTACAGCCTCTTTAGAGATCACTTGCCATTTTAATATATGGTTGTGAAATGATCCCATAAATGTTAAAATAGATGAGTACGGTTAGAAGAAATAAAAATAGTGTAATGTGAGCTGCATCAACTGATTCCTTCCTAAACAAAAGCATCAAAGTGCTTAACTATACACCATGGAATACTATACAGCCATAAAAAAGAACGAGGTCATGTCCTTTGCAGGGACATGGTTGGAGCTGGAGGTCATTATCCTTAGCAAACTAACACAGGAACAGAAAACAACATACCACATGTTCTCACTTATAAGTGTGAGCTAAATGTTGAGAACACATGGACACAGAGAGTTGTCACAGAGAGGACACAGTGCTTAACATCACAGTGATTAATGCACCCAATCTGAGCACCCCATTGGAGGAGGTTAGAGGGGGCAAACATTCCAAACAGCAAATGAAACGGAGCGCCACCTGAACCTCCAGCCTTCCCTGCCCTGTGCAAAATTGGCTCGGGGAAGGCATCAGAGGAAGATGGAGGCTTATCCAACCAGAACAGCTCACAGCCCAACACCTCAACCTCTAAGCAGTGTGTTCCCATCACTTAACTCTGTGTGAGGCACATTTGAGAAAGGGGAATTTTGAAGAAATGGACATAAAAGCTAACTGGCCCATTAAGCTTGAAGACTTGCAAAAAGGTAGCATTTTTTACAGAGGTTAGCTGTTAATAGACATGAGACAGTAGGCATAAACTTTCAAACAAACAGGATTTGCGTTACATATTGAGACATTTCCTCATAACATTTTTTAAGGAAAACAATGAGTCACTAGGATAGATAGTTTTTGCTTTTCCTACCTCCTTTTGTATAAGAGGACATCCATTTTCCTTTGGGAAGCTATCACTTCTCCTGTGCATGAAGCTTGGTGGGGGCACAATAACGCTCTCCCCTGGTCAAAAGTAGGCAGGCATCTCCGGAGCTAGGACCAGCAGCCTCTCTCCCTGGGACTTGAATTACACTCAAAGGGAGTGAGGCCGGGTCAAGAATAGCTGAATTTCATTTGTCTCATTTGTGGCACCTGAAAAGTCTATGCCCTTTATCCTGATCTATCTCTAGCATTGTCCTGGTTCCTACCTTTTCTGAGGGCTTTTTGTCCAGCTTTTAAATTCATCCTCTGAGAGAGCCCCTATTCTTGCAATAAATTCATTTTTAAAAATGTTAGGTAGTGAGAATCAGTTTATTTTGGTTACAGTGAACAGTTATGGGTCACTAAGGATGGGGATACATTCCGAGAAATGCATTGTTAGGCGATTTCATCGTTGTGTGAACATCATAGAGTATATTCCACAAACCTAGAAGGCAGAGCATACTACACACCTGGCCATACGGCATAGCCTATTGTTCCTGGGCTACACATCTGTATGGCAGGTGATTGCACAGAATGCTACAGGCAGCTGAAACACCATGGTAAGTATTTACCATGGTAAGTATTTGTGTATCTCAACATAGAAAACTGAGAATAAAAATACAGTAGCATAATCTTATGGGACCACAGTGGTATACGCAGTTCATTGTTGACCGAAATGTTGGTATATGGCACATAACTGTACCCTTTTGAATGAAGTTGACCAGCAAGGTGATTAGATCAAAGTATATTGGTTTTTGAGGTTTCATTCTAAACTGTCATTGAGATGCAAACTTTTTGTTTCTTTAGCAAGTAGCAATCTCAGTCACCAAAGTGCAACTTGGACATCTTGTTCATTTGAATTCCCCCCAAAACAGGCCTAAGACAAGTTAATCTCTTTGCAGGAGGCGGGAGTGAGGCGTAAGCAGCAGGAGACAGTGACAGGGGAAGCCAACACAATGGTGTGTTGTCAAGGTTGCAGTGGTGCCCAGAGGAACTCGATTTACAGAGGGAGGATTCTCCCAGAATTGTCTGACTAAAGGCTAGAAGCCTGCATTCCTGGGGTTACAGGTTTCCCCGGGTGTGTAAACTCCATGCTTGGGAATGGGCTCCCATGATGTCAGAAAAACCCTGGAGCAAAACATGGAAAGATGTCCATAATGCCTGGAGGTGGGGCCAGCTCAGGTGATATGGTTTGGCTCTGTGTCCCCACCCAAATCTCACCTTGAATTGTAATAATCTCCATGTGTCATGGGAGGGACCTGGTAGGAGGTAATTGAATCATGGGGGCAGGTCTTTCCCATGCTTTTCTTGTGATAGTGAATAAGTCTCATGAGATCTGATGGTTTTATAAATGGGAATTCCCCTGCACAAGCTCTCTTGCCTGCCACCATGTAAGACATGCCCTTGCTTCCCCAGCCATGTGGAACTGTGAGTCCATTAGGCATCTTTCCTTTATAAATTACCCAGTCTTGGGTATGTCTTTATTAGCAGTGTGAGAACAGACTAATATGTCAGGGAATGACAAGTCTTCGCTCACATGGGTGCAACTGCCCAGCACGAACGAGGGCCAAGAGGGCGTATAAGGGCACCGGAGACAGCAGCTCCAGAAATGGACTCAGTTGCTCCCATGCAAGGAGAGAAATTCCCCATGATAAAGTAGGGAACAAAAATGTGACTTACTTTTTGAAAAGGGGGCACACCTGGGCCTGCAACTTGCATGGAGGTGTGTGGCCAGCATTTACACTGATTTAAACAGCAGGTTTCAGAAGTAATTCTTCTTCACTCATGTGCTTATAAACCTTGGAGAGGCTGAAAGCTCACTTGATAAGATCATATCAAATACTTCATTAAATTAAGGATACAAACATGGTGGTAGCCCTGCAGGTCATCCAGAGATCAAGGCTCCACATGCCCTGGATGAAGGCTCCACATCAGTAGGGCTGACACCATACAGGGAGCTGGCCTTGCACCTTTTGGGAGCACAGTTCGCCTCTGTCTGCCATTTCCAACATTCTTACTCTCTTCCTGGTGTGTGGGCAACTTCTTGAATTGCTAATATATTTGTTCTCTAAAATATGTACTTCATTTCTCATCATATTTACCCATTCCTCAAAACATCTTGCAAATAATATTCAGTTTTAAGAATATTGTATCAGTCAGGGATGTTAGTTGCAGACAACAGAATCCACTCTAGCTCTTTCAAGCGGAAAAGGATTTATTCAGGAATATGGATGGGATTGAAGAAACAGATTTCAGCTGAGTTCCCAAGAGCAATGCCTGGAACCAGAGAGTGGGCCACCAAGAACCTGCTGCTTGTCATGACTAGAAAGCTTACAAATCAGACAGATGGTTCTAGAACCTCATTGCCTCTCCCACAGTCTGAGCCAGCAAAATGGATGCCCACACACTTCCTTTTCCCCACGTTGGAAACGAAATCTCACACAGGTGCATCCAGTTGGCAGGGACTGGATCGCAAGCCCATATACCCTCACAGACACTTTGCTGCCTTTCAGGAAAATCTGAGCCAAGTAGATTTTTGGAAAGTACCTTGTGGGGATGAGATTTACACAGTGGAGAGAGCTCTCAAAGCTCAGAGAGAGTATTTTGTGGGCAGCTGCAACAGTTTTCCACTACATGTGTCAACATTCCATGGCCTCGTGTTCTCCTGATGTTATAGTACAGAAACTCATGTTCTGCTAAGTCTATTCATTCTCTTAAATATTGGAACTATGTACCCTCTATGCTTCACCCCATCTCCCAGCGACATAAAGAAATGGTACCTTGTAAGATTCTTTTGTCCACCACAGACTAAATTTGAGGACATTAAATGTCAAACGGATACAAGAATTGTGAATTTACGTTTCATGGAAAAAGAAATAAACCTCTTAAAGACAGATGTCCAGATCAGGTATAAAAAGATTTTTTTCCTCCTGTTATATCATATTCAGGCGTAATATTTAAAAATGAAAAAAAAAAAAAGCCCAACAACCACCCCTGGGATGGCATAGCCACTGACCAATCAGAGGAGATGCCTGGCCAACCATGCTTGATGGTGTTGGGCCAGCCATGCAGGTGAATTCCAGTTTACAGAGGACAAAGGAATGCTCCGAGAATATGCCATTTGTTCCTTCATATTTTCCAGGTCCTTACAGTTCAGAAGAGACCTGTGAACACTTCTAGCCACTAAAATGTACGGGTCAATGTTGTTTGTTACTTGTGGGTTGAAGCAATACAGCTTTCATGTTCAATTGCCTATTCTTTCTCCTCACCTGACACGGCCACCAAGGAGGCTCTGTGTTCCAGATGATGCAGTGAGGAGATGCTGGAGCCTCCATTAGCCTGGTTACCTGAGTCACACGTGGAGAAGAGCTTCCTCCTGACCCACACAGGACATACAGCAGGAGGAATAATTAGGCTTTTCTTGTCTTAAGGCAATGTGATTTGGGAGCAAGTTTTTATTCCAATATAACCCAACTTATCCTGATTAATACACAACACTTTCCAAATTCAGCTTCAGCAACTCACTCTATACCTAATCATTAAATTCTGGGCTGTCCTTCTGGGCAGCAGGATAGATTGCTCAGATATGAAACCTCAAAATTTCCTCCATAGGCTGGGTGGCTAGCCCTTCATCTCCTGGTTACTGCCCTGATTTCTGCTGTAATGAGCTTGGGCAGGTCCAGCCTAAGTTAGTATGAAGGTCTCACATCCCTTTCTTCCTCAATGTGTCCTCCTAACTGTGGTTGACTTCTTAAAAAAACCTTTTCAATCAATTTCCCAACAAAGATCAGTAACCTAATCAGTAGAATAACAACCAATCACCCTGTCCTTGTCTTTTGCTTGTTTGGCCAAACTCTGTTATTTGAGCCCCTACTCCTACCCCTGGCCTCCCAAATAAATAACAAACGCTGCGACAATGATGGGCTGTGGGTTTTTTATTTCTTCCACATTAAACATAAGAGCTATTAGTTGACCATAGAAATACTATATCTAATTAGCAATAATGCTGTGTTGCTATAAATAACCTGTGTGCTTCTTTTGACAAGTGCAGAGTATCAGTCAAATTGGCACCTGCATTGCAAATAGATTTATAAACCGCTCTGTTTCTTAAAGTACATCAGCTCTTGGGTTTCGTGGCTGTGGTATGGTATGCAGAGGGATTGCATTTTGGCACTCACACTAAAATGAAATAAAATAATAAAATAAAATAATTCTTCTACCTTTGGGGAGGCAGCAAGATTTTATGCTGCAGATCCCACATGAGGCTGGGCATGTGGTCATGCCTTCTCCCTGTGAGGCTGGCTTCTCAAAGCCATTGAAACAGCCAAATGCATGGTGCTCTTCCCTTCCTTTTTAACGTAAATTTCAAAATCTTATCAAGGTTATCCAAGCTCATTGTTAAAATGTTACCCGTCCAAAAGCATTTACAATGAAATGCCATAGCACGTATCCACACTTCCCTAACTCCATTTTTGTTTCCTTCAGGCAATTGTTTTCAACTCTTCTATGTTATAAAGGTCTTCCCCCATATATCTAAATAATATGCTATATTCCCCTTTTTTGATATAGCAGTTTTAGACTTTAGCTACTGATTTCCTGGTATGATCAATGAAATTTTATCTCTGACTGCCTTCTACTTTCTCTCCTTTCTCAGGCAATATGATCATGTTCCCCTTTTGATTTCTCTATTGGCTGTATTTATAATTTCAAGGAAATACACCTCTAATCAAAGACAAACACTGCATCGTCTTACTTATAGGTGATATCTAAAGAAGCTGAACTCACAGAAATGGTGAGTAGAAGGGTGGTTGCCAGGAACTGGGTGAGGTGTTGGGGGAAATGGGGAATTTTGGTTAAAGGGTACACATTTTCAGCTATAAAATGAGTAAGTTTTGTAGACTTGATGTACAGCATGTTTAGTATAGTTAATAATAATATATCACATACTTGAAATTTGCTGAGAGCACAGCTCTTAAACGCTCTCACTACCAAAAAAAGGTAACTCTGGGAACTAATGAATTTATTAGCTTGATAGTGGCAATCATTTCACAATGTATATATGTATCAAGACATCATATTATACACCTTAAACATACACAATGTTTATTTGCCAGTTATACCTCAATAAAGCTGGGGGGAGAAAGAGATAATGCCTTGGTCCCTGAATAGTTTAAGAACATGTCTGCAGATTCTTCGACATTCCTGCCATGTGGAAGTGGAGTCTGGTTTTCTCCCCTTCAACACAGGCCGGTCTTAGGACTCACCTCTAGCTGTATCACCTTTTGGAACCTAGCCCCGGAAGTAGCAAGCATCACTTCCTCTAGAATGCAGTGGAAGTGATGGTTGCTACTTCCGAGGCTAGGTCCTAAAAGCCAAGACAGCTCCAACCTTGTTTTCTTGCTGGGGGCACTTGCTCTTGGAACTCAGTCACCATGCTGTGAAGAAGCCCTGGCCACATGGAGAGGCCACATGCAGGTGATCTGGTCAATAGCCCAGACTGTAATCGGTATCCCCCACAGCAGATGTGTAAATGCAGAGGCTTTTCAGAGGACCACGTAGACTCTACCTTGCTGCACTCAACAGGAGACCCTGAGCAGAAGCCACCTGGCAGAGTCCTGTAGACCCCCGGAGCCATATGGCAGAACATAATATAAATGGCTGTTGTTGTAATAAGGATACTATGGTTTGCTGGTTTCTTGTGCAGCAATAGATAACTGATAACCCCCGCCTCCCGCTTTGCAAGACGAGAATATTAGCCCTGCTAAAGCTCCTCTTTGGTTCATCTCTGGTGTTAGCTTCCTAACTTTTCTCATTTCTAACTTTTACTTTTATACTCTCAAGGATGATAACGTCTACATTGTGTTCTGAAACATAATGAAGTCATCTGTGCTTCGTACAAAGGTTGGATCTCAGAGTTGAAATCCACTAACATATCTATTATACTCTTACAAATATTGTTCACTGTGGAGCAGGCTTTCTCAGACTTGACACTATTGATATTTTGGGCTGCATAATTCTTTGTTATCAGGATGTTCCATGCCTTATAAGTTGTGCATTGCAGCATCTCTGGCCTCCACCCACTAGATGCCAGTAGCATCCCTCATCCCCCTAGTATGACAGCCCAAAATGTCTCCAGTCATCGCCAGTGTCTCCTGAGGGAGAAAAATCACTCTCAGTTAAGAACCACTGCGGTGGGGCGAAGAATTGTCCTTGGATTCTGTTTCTTTTCATTATAATACTTTGTGTCTCCTGGAGTTACTCATTGCCTTCCTTTTTTTCCTCTTTAGTTAATATAATTTACTTTGTTCATAATCTTAGGTTTTGCCAAGCTCTTCACTGACCTTGCCATTTTCCCGGGGATCCTCCCATCAGAATATTTTGTCTTCTGTTCCGATGAATATGTTCTCTAGACCTGCTGCATAGATCAGGACTTCTTTTTACTTGATACAAAATTTGTTTTAAATATACACATTTAAAATGGGAGAAATTTTCAAAATGCAGAAACGAATGCAAAAATTCTTGATTTTCTTGATTTTCTTCATGTCACCAGCAAGTACGGACTCCACTGTATACAGTGAGCTTTGTGCAACCAGAGCTGGCTTTAGGTAACAGACAAACCTTTCAAAAACAGAATATAGTCTATTTAGAAATAATATTTTATTGTACTAGTGGAGCTTGCTATTAAAAATCAGACTAAGCAGGCAGGGCACGGTGGCTCATGCCTATAATCCCAGCACTTTGGACGTCGAGGCAGCAGATCACTTGAGGTCAGGAGTTTGAGACCAGACTGGCCAACATGGCAAAACCCCATCTCTATTAAAAATACAAAATTAGCCAGGCATGGTGGCCACGCCTGCAGTCCCAGCTACTCAGGAGGCTGAGACATGAGACTCCCTTGAACCTGGGAGGTAGAAACTGTTTTTTTCTTTTCCATTTTATATATTTTTTAATTATCCTAAGCAAACTCAAGGCCCAACTCAAATGCTACATCTTCCTTGATCTCCCCAAGTGGAAATAATCAGTGTGCATATTGTTTATATTTTATTAGAGACATTATATAAAATAAATACGGAAACAGGAGAGCTTAGGGTGAGGAGTGCGAGCTTTGGGGCCAGACAGCCTGGCTTTGAATCTCAGTTCCTATGCCTACTAGCTCTGTGACTTTCGGCAAAATAGTGACCGTACTGTACTGCACTGTGTCTGTTTTCTCATCTGCGAAATCGGGACTGGAAAAGTTTCCATGCTATTGGGTTGAAGGGAAGGATTTCATACATGAAAGGTGGTTATTGCCATGACTGGCGCATACTAAGCAAAGCTACATGTTCACCATTGTTGGCGTCATCCACGCTGCCTGACTTTAAGAACTCCTCAACCAGCCTGGGAGTGGAGACAGGCACCTGGCCTGAGGGATCTGAGTCCTAGCTTTACACAGCATCAGATGTGGGACTTTGGCCAAGGTATGTCAGTTCTTGGAGGCCAACTTTCCTCATCTTCACTGTGGAGTTAAATGAGATGCAGGAGAATCGCCACCCGCACAGTCTTTGGACTCGGGTGGCCTGTGTTCAAATCCCAGCTTTGTCACTTCCATGTTTTGTGACTTTGCAAGTTACTGAAACTCTCTGCAGCTCATTTTTCTTATCTGAAAAACAAGGTTCCAAGTAGTATCTACCACAGAGAGTTCTTATGCGGATCCAATGAGTTAACGCAGGCAAAGTGTTAAAGCAGTGCTTGGCATTATTAATTTGTAAATAAGGCTGCTTATTAGTAGTATCCTAACATATGCAATGACTTACATGGATTCAATTACGTTCCTGGCAAAAGGAAAAAGCAAGAGAGAGAGGAAGAGGAGGGAAGAAGACATAACCTGCCGTGCCTTTCAATGCACTCAAGTTTGTCCTGCAGTATAGGAGGCAGGAACCTGCTGTTTACCCAGTGGCCCCCAGCCCCCACAGCCACTCACAGTGTGAGCATCTCACTGCAGTCAGTAGCTTTAGTATTAAAGATACATATTTTTCACACCCAGGATCCCTGAGCACAAGCCAACAACTCCACTTGGTGCTCAGCCAATGAACAATAATGTGTCAATGCTGAAAGAAAGACGGGAAGTTTCGAGCCGTAGAAGCTGTATTTTATGAGTGGTTTGAGGGACTTTCAAGGGTGATGTTGATTGCGTGTTATTTTCGCATCATGTGTTTGCTCTGGAAACTAAACTTCTTTCTGGAATGGGACTTCATTGCCAAGACCAGTGAACTCTCAGTGAAGCATTGGAGGCTTGCGATAAGAAAGGGTGAATGAACTATAGGAACATGAGTTCTTGGCCGCCTTCATTCCTATGCAAATTGACATTTGGTTTCTCTCTGGAGGAAATGCCTGGCCAGGATCACAGGGCAATGCCTGTGGGCATGGGCCTTGAGCATCTCTTCTCATGCACACCTACCTATGCATGTGGGTTTGCAGAGCCCACAGGTTAGGACTTAAGAGGCATCTCAAGGGACAGGAAGGTTCTCATACCATTTGCCCCTGTCTGCCGCGGCACCAGACCTTGGCCCAGACAATCATCCCAGGATGTGGTGTCAAACTCCGGTTCTAACCCGGGGCCTTGGAGGTGGTAATGGTCACCTGGTAACCTAGGACCTCACACCTAAGCCAGAGGGCGAAGTGACAGCTCCAGGTAATTGCTGCCTTATAGGAATGTGAACCAGACTGACCCATGTCCTGATTTTCCCAGAGGAGCCAAGAAACAATATTGGTAGGTGAGATCTCCTAACTTTTACATTTGGCTCACTTTTTGTGAAATGTTCTGTGAAGTTTGAACAAACACATTTGCAGGGTGCACTGGCCTAAGGGCTCCCCTTTGTGACTTCATTAGGAACTCTTGCCCTGCTGTCTGGACTCAGCAACGAGGTGAATGTTTTCCCAGGACCCCCGATTCATTTCTCTGGGTCACCCCACAACCCCTGCTGTCTGGGAATAAGGTCTCCTTCATTCTGAGCCGCCTGAAGAAATCTCCTGTATCACAAAAGCACTGCTTCGTTTTGCATAACTAATTTCAAATCTTATTTAGCGTCAAGTTTCAGAATTAAGAAGCTAAATGACAGCTGTTTAATTAACTCCTTAAGCTGATTAGGCAGTGCTACTGAAATCCCCTCAAGGAGGAATTTCTAACTCTGGGGAGAACCTAGGCCATGTTACTGCCTCTGTTTAAATTTAGTAAGCTGCTAAACCCATCGACCACACGTACCTGACATCCTCAAGCATGTGGCCAAATATGGATTTTTATTTATTATGTTAACTGCTACAGAAGATGCCAAGTGATAATAACAATAACTTCCTTTGATCCACTAAGAAAATCTGTCATCTGTCCTGCGTTAGGAAATATATATATATATATATATATATATGGCGCAAGTCGGAGTTTTTCCGAAGACACTTGATTATGTTATAAATCCCATGGGTTTCAATGCACTGTGTTAGGAGAGGGGTTTGGATTAACCTTGGGCCCCCACATAATGGGTTGTACATCCTTCTCTTCATTAATAAGAGAAAGCCACATGAATGAGTTTAAGACCTTAAGCCAGTTTTATTCTTAAGATTGATGTTTTTAAAGTGGAATTTCCAAGGAAGAGGAAACCACAATATTTACCTGATTTTATTTTTATTTATTTTTTAATATATATATATATTTTATTATACTTTAAGTTCTAGGGGACATGTGCACAATGTGCAGGTTTGTTACATAGGTATACATGTGCCATGTTGGTGTGCTGCACCCATTAACTCATCATTTACATTAGGTATATCTCCTAATGCTATCCCTCCCCACTACCCCCACCCCACAACAGGCCCTGGTGTGTAATGTTCCCCTTCCTGTGTCCAAGAGTTCTTATTGTTCAATTCCCACCTATGAGTGAGAATATGCGGTGTTTGGTTTTTTGTCCTTGCGATAGTTTGCTGAGAATGATGGTTTCCAGCTTTATCCATGTCCCTACAAATGACTTGAACTCATCTTTTTTATGGCTGCATAGTATTCCACGGTGTATACGTTTATTACCTGATTTTAAATGTGAGGCTAAGGCTGCCTGGGCATCCCAGGACATCGACGCTGTGTACAAGATGATGAATTTGTTTCCCCCTTTATAATCCTTAGCTGGGCAACATTGGGTGGATGGTAACAAAACATGGTGTAGACAGTGTGAAGAAGCATGAGACGTGTGTTTTGGAGAACTGCCATTGACCTAAGGTTGTTAGAAACCGCAGTTTAACTTTTGAATTGAGTTTAGCGGGATGAGTCCAGTAATCCGGTGGGGAGTGGTGCGGAACCCACAGATTTTGTGGGCTGGTTTTGCGTGCTGAAAATGTCAGCTCCTTGCTCAAGACCTAGAGGTTTTCCATTTTTGTGTTGTTTTGAGTTTTTGTTTTGGGCAGCTTTATTGAGATAAAATTCATATACCATAAAATTCATCTGCTTAAAGTGTGCAATTCATTAGTTTTTAATATAGTCACAGATACGTGCAGTATTACCACAGTCAATTTTTGAACATTTTTATTGCCTTAAAAAAAATCCTATGTCCTTAGCTACTTCCCCACCCCTCACTACCACCGTGCTTCAGCCCTGGCAATCACAAATCTACTTTCTGTCTGCCTGAATTTTCCAGTTCCAGATGCTCAACCTGAATCGAATCATGTGATGTGTGGTCTTTTGAGACTGGCTGCTTTCACGTACTGTGATGCCATCATGGTTCATCCATGCTGTAGCACGGGTCAGTGTTTCGTTCCTTTCACAGCTGAATAATACTCCTCAAGGCACACAGGTTTAATGCTTTCCATTTAACAAAAATCAATTCCGATGCTGTTATGATCAGTTAATCAACTAGGGTTCCAAGGACCGCATCCCGCCCATGGAAATGATTTGTTTGGACTGTACAGATTTAATTCTTTTTCAATGGATCACAACATTTGAAAATGAGAATATCTGCATAAGATCCGGACTTCTGGTTTGTCTTGGAAAATCAGAAGTTCAGCAATTCCGGGGCATCATTCAGTGAATGTGTCCTTGTGGCCTCTCTCCTCTTCTCCAGAGCTGACGTCTCCATTGAATTGGGAGGTCCAGGATTCTCCGGGAGGGTCTGAATCCAGGCTCCCTTGCTGAGGTGCCTCTAGACGAGCAACACACGTGTGATCCAGCTGTGCCAACGTTGTCCAGTTCCAACAACGGAGGCTAAAACTTATAAGAAATGTGACAGGCACAGGGTAAACACTCAGCTTCGGGTGTAACTTTTTAAAATAACAAGCTACTCTTTGTATCAGAAATACTAAATCTGGTGATTTATCAGTCTCCTTGATAAGAAAAGTCTGACAATATGATGCTGTTGAGTACACTCAGCATATATCAAAGATCGACAACTACGGATGTTGATAATGAAGGTTCTTTTAAGAAACGTACACTTCATTTATAGCTTCCAAACATCAATTCCATGAAACCCAGCATGAATATTTAATTTATGTCTGTTGATAGAGTCCTCTTGATAGCATAAAGCATCTGCTCTTTGAAACTGAGGGAGGTTTTGCCTGCAGCCTCTAAGTAAATGGGTTCTCAGTCCTCTACTATATCACTACAGAAAAATGCATGTCAAATTGTCAAAGGCTACAGAATTTTCTGTAGGCTGGGAGAAGCCTATCAGTTTTATGGGACATGAAACTAAGGAATTAATTCAATTGGTATGGAAAGGACATAGAAAATTGATAAACATCAAAGAGCTGCTCTCAGACTTCATTTAACTAAATCAGTAAACCTAAAAGTGGGTCTTGTTTAGAATTTTAACCCTCTAGAGGCACCGAAAGTGCTTATAAGTCCTTTTTTAACCTGCAAGCCACAGGGATTTCAGCAAGACTTATTGGTGGGGCTGGGAGCCAAGTCTTGATTATCTGTGCTGATGAGGGTGCAGTGGTGTGGCTAATCCCAAATAGTGTAAAACCCAAAAGTCATTTGCAGTTTGGCCCTGGAATACATTAAGTGCATTTTCTTGCCTTCACCAGACAACTTCTTAATTATGTTTCTTTTAGGCTAGTGTAAAAATGAATTTACATGTCTTCTGCCCACACTAATTGAGAAGAGGGTAGATGCAATTAAGATTATTCTGGGAGGCAGGATAAAATCAATCTGGGGTTTTAAATTGGTCACAGTCACCCATGCATTGACTTAGACTTCATAACCTGCTGACCAAGGAAATGCATCTGAGGTCTATGCTTCCCTTTCCTGAGAAAGGAAGAACATCAGCAGTCTCTGCTACTTCCCCAGCCTGGCCATCCCCTTCCTCAGCTCCTTCTGTGTAGGGGTCTCCCCAGCCTAGCCATCCCCTTCCTAAACTCCTTCTGTGTTGGAGGGGGGGGGCTCCCCAGCCTGGCCATCCCCTTCCTCAGCTCCTTCTGTGTATGTGGGGCTGTGATTCTATGATTCATGTCCTGTCCTCCAACCCCACTGATGACAGATGAAAATCATGGGGACTTGGAGAAAATGAAGATGATTATTAGACCCTTCTTCAAAATGTAGCTCTGTGATCAAGATTATGGACACTGGTCTCATTCTCAACTGTCTGAAACTACGGAGAAATTTATGCTACAGCAAAGCAGCTCTGTTTTCGGGGTGTCTACAGGATGGGGTGAAGCCACACTACTGTGGAGACCACACCCTAGAAGATGATCTCATCCAGTCCCAGGGTGTTGATGTTCTGATCAGTTCCAGATTCAGATCTCCCATCTGAGAGCTCCCATGAACTCAAGAGTATTCTTCTGCCTAGCTGATGTCTCCACTGGGTGTCTCAGAGTCACTGGGTTCAAGAAGCAACTCTTGACATCCTGTCTCAAATCTGCTCTGCTAACAGTATTCAAATCTCAGCAAATGGGGCAACAGTGCCCTAGTTGCTCAATCTGAAACCTCAGGAGTGATGGCTTATGTCACATCCATGAGATCATTGGGTTAGCACTGTGCTCAATGTACTGCAAACCTGCCAGCCACTTCCCTCCATTCCATGATCATCACCTTCAATGAAGCCACCATGATATGTAGCCAGGGTTAGGAAAAATCTTTGAAACCACTTATCTTGTTTATTTACTCCATAGCATTCGTCACTCTCAGAAATCCTCCCTTTTCTCTTGCTGTGAATTTACTGTCTGTTCAACCACATCAGAATATAACCTTTAGAAGGGCAGGTCTTTCATGCTGTTCAACACAAAGCCTAGGGCTAAGTTCAGGCAGCCTCATGCAAGCGCTTCCTGGCATGCCAGACTCAAACGTGTCCTTGAACATAACACAGGGCTCTTAGGGCACTCCTTGAATCAGCATTGAAGTCTTTTTCAATTAACTTCCATTTGTAACAGAGAATGTGCATTATGGCCATGTTCTCTTTGATATTTTAATCCACGTTGGAAGCAAAATATATCATTGGTGGGTCCCTGTGCATATCTCCAGGGCTTTACATTTCCTGGCTGGAATTGGCAAATCTTGTCCCATTCCTGAAGCTAGAGGTATAAAATGTGTTATATGTTTACAGCAGTCAAACGTCATCAGATTTCCTCTAGTTCAGAGCAAGAAAATAACCAATTGTTCTTTTATTGGTTGGGAGGTCCACACTATAACCACTTTGTGATACATCATTATTATTTTTTATTTCATTAAGCCGGGCTTTGGCAGAAGCATCCTAACTGACATTCAGCCAAGAAAGCAGCTGTGGCTGATGAGCTCAGCTGGTGGGAGCATGGTGTTAATGAGGCTGAGGTCGTGGGTTCAATCCCCACCGGGCTATGGGTTTGTTGAAAATCAGCCAGCTGAAATGGTGACCCTAACTATGGCCAACAGCTTAATAATTACATGAGAAAACATGAACATAGAGCCAAACTATCTTTTCTTCCTAAGGTCCTGGGGCACCTGAGGTTGGTCCAGAGAAGTGGTTCTCAACCAAGTCTACAGAATATAATCCTCCATGGAGCTCTGACAAAATTTCAATGCCTTGGGCCTGCTTCTTCCAATTATATCAGAACCTCTGGGGAGTGGGACACAGGCACCAGTATTTCTTTTTCATATCTTTGCAGGTAATTCTCACTCAGTGGTTCTCAAACTTAGCTGTACATTGGAATCACCTGGGGAGATTAAACAACACTGGTAGTGGGTCTCACACTCTGATTCTGAATTCATTGTCATGGGTTGCAGCCCGGATCTTGGGAGGCTAAAAATCTTCCCACGATATTCTAATAGGCAGCAAAGTGTGAGCACCACTGAGAGTGAGTTTTGTCCATGAAAAATGGTCACCTTCCTTAGTGATTCCAGAGTGCCTTCTACTCTGCTGGACCTGTGAACACACATGCACTCAGACATGGTTCAAGACATGTGACTGGACAGAGAGGGCAAACTGGCAAACTAGTGTTAGGCAACATGTTTTCTGCTTGATGCTTAAGAAATGTTAAAATACAATGATGGTGCCATAAAGTAAACACAGAAGTAAGGGAAAAACACTCTGCACAGAGCTGAGGTCAGAAAGCACCATGCTAGCTCTGCCTTGCAGGTGAGACTGCCTTCTGGTCCAAGGAGATTCTAAGTTGCCATCCACATGAGACAGGATGCCAGTGCAGAGCATGGCCTCATAGCTCAAATGTCTTCACCTCCCAGGGCTTCTGTGACCACCGAACGATTACTATTTGCCCCAGGTCCCCTGCTCACAATCACATTCTGTATTAGTTTGTTCTCCCACTGCTATAAAGATACTACCCGAAACTGGGTAATTTATAAACAAAAGAGGTTTTTATTAACAAATAGTTCCACGTGGCTGGGGAGGCCTCAGGAAACAATCATGGCAGAAGGTGAAAGGGAAGCAGGCGCGTCTTACATGATGGCAGGAGAGAGAGAGATAAAGAGAGAGAGAGAGAGAGAGCACAAAGGAGGAAGTACCACACTTTTAAACCATCAGATCTCATGAGAACTCCCTCACTATCATGAGAACAGCACCGGGGAAATCACCAGCCTGAGCCACTCGCCTCCCACCAGGTCCCTCCTCTGACATGCAGGGATTATAATTGGAGATGAGGTTTGGGTGGGGACACAGAGCCAAACCATGTCACCTCCCCATTCAATCTCCACCACAATGCCTCCTTTTTCATTTCTGTAGCACCTAGTTAGAAATTATCTTATTCTTATGTTAATATATGTATAAGTAAATGCATATTTATTTTGTTTATTTATGATTAACTTACTTTTAAAATTGTCCATCTCCTGTTTTAGACTACAAGATATATGAGGGAGGGGGCCCTGTGTGTCTCCAGCAGCTGCTGAGTTCATCCCAGTATACGCTATCATCATCTGCACGCAACAGTTCTTGAGTGAATGAATGAATGAATGAATGGTACCACAGTTTCAGAAAATGGTTTCTTTCCCTGAGTTATTCTTCCTTCCTATATTCAAGCCCCTCAAATGATTATTTACCCTTTGAAAATTATGTTCTACTGTAGCAGCTTTGGAAGTTCTTATATCCTGCCTCATGATAAGATGTATTTTTGGTGAGGTCAGGATTGATTCTATAAAAAAACATGCTCCCTCGTATGTTGGAGGAAGTCTGAAAAGAACAAGGTGATTATGTCAATGTAACATGGAAGCATAGCTTGAAATCACAAACTGATATTATTAATTTTTATTTTTTAACTTTTAAATTTTATTTATTTATTTATTTTTGAGACAGAGTTTCACTCTTGTTGCCCAGGCTGGAGTGTCATGGTGTGATCTCAGCTCACTGCAACCTTTGCTTTCCAGTTTCAAGCGATTCTCCTGCCTCAGCCTCCTGAGTAGCTGGGACTACAGGCACCTGCCACCACGCCCGGCTAACCCTGGCCTATAGATGATATTATTATTATTTTTTACACGATTGGGTCTCTGTTTTCAAGGGTCAATGGATTCAGTAAAAAAAAGTAAAGTATATATTTTTTGAAAAAATCACAACCTACCCAATTTTTGGAAAGGATGTTCTAAGCAAAAGAGAAAGAAAACCACATCAAATGTAAAAACATATCCTGACTTTCAAACCACATCTTTAATGAGGGTTGTAAAGATTATTTCATTTTCTCAACCATTGAGTTAGATATGTGCATAAACATAGGTTTTGAAATGTAAATTCTGCTTGGCAAAATATGACTTTAGAAGTTGACATTTAGAAAACTTCATAAAAGTGATTGCAGGAGAAAATAAGAAATGTACTCCAACAGCTGCTTTAATGCAATGCAGGAAGGATGCTAAGAAATTAAGGAATGGAAATTAAAAGGAGAGAACAGGCATGGAGAATGCACTGCTGGTCATTTGCAAACCGAGGGGTGTTTGAAAATGTGGAACCCGAGAAGCTATTATGAAGAGACATGATCTGTCTTGTAATAAAATTCTTAGAATTGACGTGCAAGTAAAGGATTCCAATCCTGTCTCATTGTAGGCTCCGTAGCAACTGCTAAATAGCTAATCTTTTCACACCCGTTCCAGGAGAATTTATGTTAATGCCCACTCTGTGTGTTCAAGAAAATAAATCTAGGCTTGACTTTGGCTTTCAAAGTGTGTGCCTTGAAAAAGCTACGTTTCTCCACATCTGATTTATAATGACCTGCAGGCTTGTTCTCACCTGCCCCAAACACAAAACCAGTATATTTTTTCTGCTTTTACAAAAATGAAGCATAGTGCATGAAGTTCCCTGTTTTGTCTAAATCTCGTTAAAATATGCTAAGCTCACAAAATCACAAATCCACACAGGATGCCAATACTAATGACTTATATATGTTAATCTGATAGGTTTTAATAACTGATAGAAATATAAGTACTATTATTGTGGGAGAGTATAATGATTTTCATTCACAAAGGCAATCTATGTGGGTGAAATCCATTATCTTAAAAGTATTTTGATAAGGATAGATGTATGTAGAAAGAGTTAGGCATCTTATATGCAATTGTTAAACTCCATTAAACATGCTCAATAATTAGTTGGCCAAAGAACCTCATTAGATGTACATTAAATGTGCTTAAGCCATATTTGAGACACTTCATTAAAAGTGACACAGTGAGCTTTACTGCATAACTTTAATAAAAATTCTAGTCAAATTAAAACTAGAATTTAAGCTACTCTCATTCTATCTTTGAGGGCGGACTACTATATTGAGTTTTTTCCCACAGTACACCAGCCTCCGCTATGCTAGGCATTCCATAACTGCTTTATTCAGGTATAGTTTACCTATAATAAACTCATCCTTTATAAATTGCAGTTCAGTGAGTTTTATTAAATTTATGCATTTTTTCCTTCTTCTAAGAGATCACTTTCAATAAAATAAGAATAAATAAAAATAAATGTACGCAATTGTGCAACAATCACCATAATCCAGATTTAGAATATTCCATCACCTCAACAAAGTTCATTCACACTCTTTTGTGGGCAATTCTTTCTCTCAGCCCCTAATGGGTTTTTTTTTTTTTATTATAGCTTTGCATTTTCTGGAAATTACATATATGTGTAATCAAATATTATATAGCCTTTTGTGACTTTCACTTAGCACGATGATGTTGAGATTAATCCTTGCTGTTACATGTTATCAGTGGTTGATTTTTGTGGCTGAGTAATATTTTATTATGTGGTTATATCACAACTTGGTTCCATATTCATCAGTTGATGGACATTTAGTCGGCCTCATTTAGGATATTATAAATAATGCTGATTTGAATACTCAACCTATACGTTTCTGTGCAGCCATATGTCTTCATTTCTTTTTGAAGGTGGAATTGCTGGGTCATATGGAAGTTTATGTAACTTTTAAAATCTGCCAAATGTTAGGTAGTGTGACACCTCTGGCTTTCTTCTTTTTTGCTCAATACAATATTGTTTGGCTATTTGGGGTCTTTTGTGATCTTATATAAATCTTAGAATTAAAAAAAACATTTCTATGAGAAATGCCATTGGAATTTCAAGGGGGACTGCATTGAATCTGTAGATCACTTTGGGTAGTGTGGACATTTTAACAATATTAATTCTTTCAATCCATGAACGTGGAATATCTTTCTATTTATTTGCAGCATCTTCAATTTCTCTCAAATATGTGTTACAGTTCTCAGTGTACAGATTTTTCAACTCCTTAAGTTTATTCCAAATAATTTTATTATGATGCTATTTTGTGTGTGTGTGTGTGTGTGTGTGTGTGTGTATGTGTGTATGTGTGTGTATGAGAGAGAGAGAGAGAGAGAGAGTCACTAATGGAATGTTTTCTTTCTTTCTTTTTCAGATAGTTCAGTATTGGTGTATGGGCCGGGTGCAGTGGCTCACGCTTGTTATCCCAGCACTTTGGGAAGCTGAGGCAGGTGGATCACAAGGTCAGGAGTTCAAGACCAGCCTGGCCAATATGGTGAAACCCTATCTCTACTGAAAATACAAAAATTAGCCAGGCGTGGTGGCGTGCGCCTGTGATCCCAGCTACTCGGGAGGCTGAGGCAGGAGAATTGCTTGAACCTAGGAGGCGGAGGTTAAGGTGAGCCGAGATCGCACCATTGAACTCCAGCCTGGGCAATGGAGTGAGACTCCATCTCAAAAAAAAAAAAAAAAAGAAAAAAAAAAGAAAAGAAATGAAACTGGCTTTTGTATGTTAATTTTGTATTTTGCAACATTACTAAATTTGTTTATTAGTTCTAGCAGTTTTTCGTGGCGTCTTTAGGGTTATCTATATATAAGGTCATGTCATTTGCAGAGACAAGTTTACTTTTTTCTTTCCGATTTGAATGCCTTTTGTTTTTTTAAAAAATCACTTCATTGCTCTAGCTAGGAGTTCCAGTACTATGTTGACTAGTGTGATGAGAGTGGGCATCCTTGTCTTGTTCCTGATTTTAGAGGAAATGTGTTTAGATTTTCACCCTTGAGTATGATGTTAGTTGTGAGTTTTTCATATACAGTCTGTATTATGTTGAGGTAAATTCCTTCTATACCTACAGTGATAAGAGTTTTTATCACAAAAATGTATTGAATTTTCCAATTGTTTTTTCCTGCATCTTCTGAGATGATCATGTGATTTTTATTCTTCATTCTGTTAATGTGGTATATCACATTAATTGGTTTGCATATGTTGAAACATCTTTGCATCCGGGGGTAAATTCCACTTGGTTATGTTGAACAATCCTTTTAATATGCTATTGAATACAGTTTGCTAGTATTTTCTTGAGGATTTTTGCATCTACATTCCTCAGGAATATTAGCCTGTGGTTTTCTTTGCTTGTAGTAGTTACCTCTTCTTCAATTTTTTGAAACTCAAAAGTAAAAGAATTCTTATTTTTCTCTTTTTGTCATGCCCTATCTTCCCTGAAGCAATATATATACAATAATCTCTTTCCTAAGTGTGAAGGATCACAGGACAGAGTTTAATGCCTGAAAAAAAATTGATATTGAGTTAATTTTTATACATGCTGTAAATTTCTTTCTGAGCTCTGCTTTATTCCATAAATTTAGATCTATTGTGTTGAAATTTTATTTAGTTCATGATATTTTCTAATTTCCTTTGGGATTTCCTCTCTAAATCATTGGATATTTAGAAAATTATTGTTTAATTTCCATATGTAAATTTCCCAGATTTCTTTCTGTTACTGATCTTAAATTTAATTTTGATGTCATTGATATTATGCTTTGTAGGATGGCAATTTTTAAAACTGTATTGGTATCTGTTTTATGGCCTAGGATATTGTTTAACTGATGTTTTATGTGCACTTAAAAATTTGCATCCTGGCTGGGTGCAGTGGCTCATGCCTGTAATCCCAGCACTTTGGGAGGCTGAGGCGAGAGGATCACTTGGGTTCGGGAGTTTGAGACCAGCCTGGCCAACATGGTGAAACCCTGTCTCTACTAAAAAATTCAAAAATTAGCTGGGCACGGTGGCAGGAACCTGTAATCCCAGCTACTTGGGAGGCTGAGGCAGGAGAATCGCTTGAACTCTCCCCAAAAATGTGCATCCTGATGTGGTTCAACGGAGTATTCTAAATATGTGAATCAGGTCAAGGTGATTGCTAGGCTCTCACTTTTAGCAGGGAAAGATGATGGGTTTTGCCTCTCCATCTCAGACGAGTTTGTCACTTCTGGCTGATAAAGGGTCTGATCCTCACCACCATCCCCATATCAAATCTGTCTCTTCCCCTGTCCTAGTCCCTGTGAAATCTGTGGGTTTTGCCCTCCTGATGGTGGCGATAATGGGCACTACAGGTGGATGGGTGCACACAGGCAAGACGGCCCCAGACTTGTTGACATTTTTATTCAATGCAATAGAAGGTTTTTAAGACTAAAATCTTCTGCATTTGATATCTGAGCTTAGTCAATTTCCAACTAAACTTTAAATTATTATTTAAAACAATTTTAAAATTACGATAAAATACACATAATATAAAAGTTTCCAATTTAACCATTTTCAAGTGTATAGTTCAATAATGATAAGTATATTCACATCGTTGTGTAACCTATCTTTAGAACTTCATCTTGCAAAACTGAAACCCTACTCACATTAAACAACAACTTCCCTTTACCTTTTCTCTCAAGCCCCTGGCAATCACCATTCCACTTTTTGTTTCTATAAATTTGCCTACTCTAGGTACCTCATATAAGTAGAGTCACGCAGTATTTATCTTTCTGTGACTAGTTCATTTCACTTAGAAAAATGTCCTCAAGCTTCACTTATATTGTAGCATATGTCCAAATTTCCTTATTTTTAAGGCTGGATGATATTCCACTCTATGTATAGATCACATATTGCTCATCCGTTCATCCACTGATGGACATTTGGGTTGATTCTACCTCTTGGCTATAGTGAATAAAGCTGCTATGAACATGGGTGTCCGAATATCCCTTTGTGACCTTGCTGTCAATTCTTTGGGATGTATACACAGATGTGGAACTTCTGGATCATAGGGTTATTCTATGTTCAATTGAGGAATTGTCATACTGTTTTCCACAAAAGCAGTACCATGTTACATTTCCACCAATAGTGCACAAGACTTTCAGTCTCTCCTCATCCTCATCAACATTTGTTATTTTCTGTTTTTTTTTTTTTTTTGGACAGTAACTATCCCAGTGGGTTTGAAGTAATATCTCACTGTGGTTTTGATTTGCTTTTCCCCAATGATTAAGGATGTTGACCATCTTTTCACGTGCTTGTTATTACCCATTTGCACATCTTCTTTGGAGAAATGTCTGTTCATGTTCTTTGCTCATTTTTAAATTTGTTTATCTTTTTGTGGTTGAGCTGTAGTTGGAGGAATTATTTATATATTCCAGACATTAACACTATAATGGTTAATTTTATGTGTTTAAGAAATCCTTGCCAAATCCAATGTCACAAAGCTTTTTCGTTATGTTTCTTTCTAAGTATTTTATAGTTTGAGAGGTTTTACATTTAGGTCTTTAATCTAGGTTGCGTTAAATTTGTAGATGGTGTAAGGTAAGGGCCCAACTTCATTCTTTTGTGTGTAGACATACAGTTCTTCTGACACCATTTGTTGATGAAATGACTGAACAGTGTCCTCGCAAAAGATATGTGCAAGTTCTAACCCTCAGTACCTTTGAGTGGGACCTTATTTGGAAACAGGGTCTTTGCAGATGTAGTCAAGTTAAGACCCTAATCTAATGACTGCTGCCCATATAAGAAGAGAGAGATTTGGGAATAGACACGGAAGCAGAGAGAATGCCATCTGATCACAGAGGCAGAGATGGGAGTCATGGATCTAGGCACCAAGGAATGCCAAAGATTGCTGGCAACCACTGGAGGTCAGGAAGAGGCAAAAAAGGATCTTCCCCTAGAGTCTTAGGAGACAGAGCATGGTTCTGCTAACACATTGATTTCATTCTTCTACCTTGAGAAATGACAGAGGATACTTTACAATGCTTCAAGTGATTCAAGTTTGTGAAATTTCTAATGGCAGCCCTAGAACGCCAATACACTTGGTGTAGAACAATTTTGATTTTAGTTCCCTGGTTCTGGGCCTAGATGTTCACTCTCGATGTCTGAGCAAAAGTGTTCTTCTCTTTGCAAGGAAAAGGGAGAAATGGCTGTCAGTTTTGCAATCAGTGATGTCTGCCTTCCAGTCTAAAGAGGTAGACTTCCATTTTCTAGCATTAGGGATAAAAGTTGACTCAGATTTATTGTAGAACACTTGGAAAATATACGCAAGCATAAAGAATAAAACAGCAATGAGCAGTAATCCCGCCACTCAGAGCCACTGCTAAAGTTTTGTTGTGTATCCTACAGGGCCCTTTTAACATATGTGTGTAATTATTTGCTTTATGTATAAAATGACCCTCTGCCTCACTTTTATGCCGCTGGATACCTTCCATTTTCCAATTTATTGCTAATATAAGTTTGTTCAATGATAGTCTTCAGTTTGAGAAAACTGGTTTGAATATCCCCCCACAGTGGCAATTATTATGATACTTAAGTAGACGCTATATTAAAGGCAGGCTGACGTAGCTGAAATACAGTAAAATCTTAGAAAATTTTTGCTGAATGAATAAGAAGGTTAGAATTGTCCCAAATGAGGATGTATCAACCTAGACCATATATTGTTTTCAAACTATAACAGCATATAAAGGAAGAATGAAGAAGGTTGTTAGGACCAGCATGCAGAATGATTTCTTCGTGATTTAAAAATCATAAAAAGCTTTATGATTTTGAATGTTAAATTCACTTGCGTTATCATTGTCCTTTTAAAGACATTGTCTTCCAAGATAGAACTCTTCAAGGTTGAGGCGCTGGAACGTGTTCATACTTGCACTTAATGTCTAATTCCTAAGGCACTGAGAGCTCAATATACTCATGCCTCAGCCGATGCTCTTCCACCAGAAACTTGGTCCGCTTCAGGTTTTCTGTCTCAGAGGAAGACAACACCTTCTAGCTAGGTGTTGAAGCCATAGCCTGAGGCTTCTGAGACATCTCCTCAATCTCCCTGTCCATCCATCACCAAATCCTCTTTATCCTGCCTTCTGAATCCCAGTTTAGTCCAAACCTTTCCCTCTATATCCATCACGTCCATCGCAACCCACAAACTCCCTCATTCATGCTGCCATTTTCTCCTGCCTGTGTTTGGGTGATATAAATAGTTTACTAATTGGCATTTCCAACTCTAAATCTTATTCAATAATATGTTATTTATACTCCAGCCAGGAAAGGCCCTTACCATGCTTCAGCCCTCTTACCTCAAAAAAAAAAAAAAAAAAAAGGAAAGAAAAAAACTCCAAAACAACCAACTTTCCAATCAACAAGTGAAGAGACAATCCATAGAATGGGAGAAAAATATTTGCAAACTATCCATCTTACAAGGGATTAATTACAAAAATTTATAAGGAGTTCAAACAATGCAACGGCATAAAACAAATAATCTGATTGCCTTGGAACGGCAAAATTCTTCCATGAGACCCTGAATGACACATATGTTTCGCTCTTCTCCATACACACCGGCACAACACTCTTCTTTGCTCTCTTCTTTGGCCCCACCGACCTGCTTTCTGATCTGTGTCTGCATGCCCTCTCCTACGGCAGATTCTTTGTGTATGCTATTTCCTCAGCCTAGAACACCCTCTCCCTCCCCTGTTATCCTGGTTCCCTCCCATTCATCCTTTACATCTCTGATTAAGCACCACTTCCTTGGAGAAGTCTCCTCTGACTTCTCTTAATAAGCCAACCTCAACAATGATAGTTCTTCTGGTTTTATATCTCTCCTTCATAGCACTTGTCATAGATAAAATTTTATATTTATTTCTGTAATTATTTGATTAAGATCTATCTTTCCTGCCAGATACTGTGCTTCACAAGGGCATAGACTATGCATGTTTTGTTTACATTTTGATAACAAAACAGTAGTCTTCAGTTCCTAATAGAATGCTTGGAGAGGAGATTATCAAAAATACTTGCTGAATGGATGGCACATATTAGGTGTCCATAATTATAAGATGTGTGCATGAAAGGGAGACAAAATGTATTTAAACAACAGAAAAAAATGCATTGGACCCTGTAATTGCACTATTCTGAGGGCTCTTCTGTGTGTGAGAGCAAAATCCCTTGAATATTAAGCAACTGACCCTGGGGATTCGGCCAAGGGGCACTTAGTGGCATTCATTCTAAGTATTCTCAAGGATCTCCACTGAGACACTAGAGTCCCTAAACCATAATGCCCTTCCAAAAATGGCCCTTGGCCCTATTTTCTTAGGTTTCTTGGACTTCAGAAGAATGGGGTTTTACAACTTCTCTCATTGACAGTTTCTACAGTTTAACCCTCCATTATTCAATGGGCTTCCTTATGTCTAATAAAGTTGTTTTCAACCAAGAAGAGGAGCAAAGTTGTAGAAGCATATTATTTTGACATTTATGCACACAGTGAGTGCATAGAATGCAGGCATATGGATAGATAGCTAGTGACCATTTTTATGTCTACGTAGACCTTTTGCTTTAAAGTCTGATTTTCTTGATAATTATATATTTACACCAACTTTCTTTTGGTTAGAATTTGATTAGTATAGTATATAACTTTCCAAGCTTTTATTTTCAATATTTTTATGTCCTTATTTTTTAGTTTTTCTTCCCTGACAACACTGGTCTTTTAAATGTAGAATTTAATTCATTTTCATGGGTTATCACCACTTGTATATTTGAATTCATTTTTTGTGCTTTTCAATTTATTATTTATTTTTGATTTCTATTTACCCAGGCTTTTAAAGCTTAATTTATTTCTTCTCTGTTTTGTTTTTCTTTGGATGAAATTTTTCTCTCTTCCTTCAATTTTTCTTCTTCTTTTTTAAGAAGTTACGCACTATTTTTTCTTATTTTCGGTAATTATCCCTGAGATTTTATTTCTAATGAAGTCCACTGATAAGTTCTTTAATCGTTTAAACTGTTATTGAGCTCTTCCAAAATGCTAGGAAATAAGAATATACAAGTGAATAAAACAACAGGCTTGAGGACGGTTCAGTCCAGTAAGAGAGGCAGTATTTCTAAGCCAGAGGCAGCAAGTTCAGGCTGCGGGCTGCCTGCTCCCACATCTTGTCTGTTTATGTCATTGCTAATGGATCCCATTTTTGCTGCAAAGTCTAGATATAGCTTCATAATGCTGTTAAAAACCAGTGGTTGGAGTTAGCTCTCCAACACAAGGCAAAGCAAAGCAAACACGTATGTGTACACACACGTGTGCACACACATATACTTTAGCCTTCTCAGGTCAAAAATAAATGAGCTATAGTACCAATCATTAAGTGCTTTATCAGATGTAATGTAAGCAAATGGACCCTTCTATTTGTAGTGACTGAAAGCACTTTCGTTTCATTATTCATTGTAGTATTTCTGATTCTATTTTACACGAGGATTTTTAAGTTTGTATCCATGAGAATCAGACCTTGGATTTATGAACAAGTCTATTATTATTATTATTATTTTTACTATACTGCAATTGCAGGGTAAGCATACTTTGCATACATTTGCATATGTGGCATAATTACTTGATATCTGTGGATATGTTTGTATAGGTTAGAAGCTCTGGGGGTGCAGAGTCCGGCTTAACCTTGTCCTATTCTTTACACATGCATGCAGCATGTGTAAACAATATTTTTTTTGCAACAGATATATTTTTTGCAAACCAGATTAGAACGACTGGAAACAGTTTGGCCTTTGGCTTATTTCCTTCCTAACACAGGGCTTCATCTCCACAATGATTTTGCTGCTTTCATTATTATCATCTGGCAAGATTTGATTTCAATTCTTGTAAAGGCGAATTTAATGCAAAGTAAATTAGATTCTTTAATGGGATTTTCTTTAGCATGAATGAGAAATATAAAACGTCAATATCAAATAGCAAATTACTCTTGATTAACTTTTTATTGGTTTAGTTAACAACTGATTGAATACACCTTAGATAATTACTTCTATTAATGCTACATCTTGGCATTTTAATTAACTGTTTAAGTGTTCTCATTTTCATTGATTTTATTTTCTTTGGTAAATGAAGTGGGTACCTGGCTTAGGTATATACCTAGAATCTCAGGGGGAGGAAGTGCGTTTGGGGGGTTCTGTGTTGGACGGAGGTGCTATGTTGATAGTCATTCTTCCAAGGACTGGAGCAACAGTGAGGGAAATGAGCCCATGAACAATGAAAAAAATTATTCCGGCCGGGTGCGGTGGCTGACGCCTGTAATCCCAGCACTTTGGGAGGCCGAGGCGGGCAGATCACAAAGTCAGGAGATCGAGACCATCCTGGCTAACGCGGTGAAACCCCGTCTCTACTAAAAATACAAAAAAATTAGCCGGGTGTGGTGGCGGGCGCCTGTAGTCCCAGCTACTCGGGAGGCTGAGGCAGGAGAATGGCGTGAGCCCGGGAGGCGGAGCTTGCAGTGAGCCGAGATCGCGCCACTGCACTCCAGCCTGGGCGACAGAGCGAGACTCTGTCTCAAAAAAAAAAAAAAAAAAAAAAAACAAACAAAAAGGAACAAGGTCTCTTATTCATTTGTTCATTCAGCAAACTTCTTGCTCCTACGGTGCATAGACAATGCTTACGCTATGGCTAGAAAGATAAAAGTTTGAAATTGTAAACACCCATGCAAAGGCCTTGTGAGAGTATTTGTATTTAGCACTCACAAAACCCATCCGACTAAGTGGTGGTGTTTTTTTATGTTTGTTTGTTTTTTGTTTTATTTTTGTTTTGTTTTGTTTTGTTTTGTTTTTGAGACAGAGTCTTGCTCTATTGTCCAGGCTGGAGTTCAGTGGTGCAATCTCAGCTTGCTGCAATCTCCACTACCCAGGTTCAAGTGATTCTCGTGCCTCAGCCTCCCGAGTACCTCGAATCACAGGTGTGGGCCACCACACCTGACTAATTTTTGTATTTTTAGTAGAGATGGGGCTTCAGCATATTGGCCAGGCTGGTCTCAAACTCCTGACCTCAGGTGATCCACCTGCCTCTGCCTCCCAAAGTGTTGGGATTACAGGTGTGAGCCACCACGCCCGGCCTGGTGTTCTTTTGTGAGGACATTAAAGCTCACAGAATTTAACAGGAGCTTAGTTTACTTCAAATTCTAAGCCCATATTCTTTTAATTAATGCTTATTTTACAGAAAAATCAATCCTGATATATTACTAATAACTAGAGTCCATAGTTTGTATTAAGGTTCACTCTTTGTAGTGTATAGTTCTATATACACAAAGCATAGTATCATGTATCCATCATTATAGTATCCCACAGAACAGTCTCACTGCCGTAAAAATTTGTGTTCCACCTATCCAACCCTCCCTCCCCCAACTCCTAACAACTACCGATGTTTTCATTATCTCCACCGTTTTATCTTTTCCAGAATGTCATATACTTGGATCAATACAGTGTGTAGCTATAGCTTTAGACTGGCTTCTTCCACTTAGGAATATGACTCTCAGTGTCTTCCATGTATTTTTATGGCTCGATAGCTCATTTATTTTTAGTGCTGAATATTATTCCATTGTATGTATGTACCACAGTTTATTTCTTCATCCATTAAGGGACATCTTGGTTGCTTCCAAGTTTTGGCAATTATGAATAAAGCTGCTATAAACATCTGTGTGCAGCCAATATTCTTTTTATTATATTAGAACTTTTTTTTTTTTTGGAATAAAGATTGCTCTCTCCCTTGGCGGATTTCTGATATCAGCTGAGACATTAATAACTTCCATTTTTCCTATATTTATGGGTTGTGATGTGTTTGTAAAAGGCAGTGAGAGTGGCCAGCAGGGCAGGCCCCAGCACCGTGGTGGCTAAAAATGAGTGGGAAATCAGACGGTAGAGAAAGAAGAAAACAGACAGAATGCAAACCAGAACGTGAAAACAGGCATCCTGGAAAGCAGATCTGCCTGCAGATGTGTTTTGTTTGGTCAGCCTGGTGTTTTAAAAGAAACAGAGTTAGTCGCCACCCTATAAATAAAGATGTTTCATGTAAAAATACACAATTCTGGCTTTTACGAAAAAACTAGAAAATCTGCCACTCTTGGGTACACTTCTGGCATGACGTCATCTGTCTGCACTGAGAGGCAGCTGCCCCATGAACTAGAAGACGTAGTTGCGTGGTTTGTCATGTTGGACCCTCTCCCCACCCCGGCCCACTTCACAGCATCCACTGGCTCCTATAAGCATTTGAAGTTTTCCTATCACAAAGTAAGTCTGCACATCCACCGAAAGTTATGCTCATGTGCAGACTGTAAACCGAATATTGCTGCTGTCTTGAGTCACAAGAACAGAACCTGTTCCTTCTACACATACTCAACATCAGCTGTGAGTATATAGAAGATAAAAATTAAAAATGAGGAAACAGAGGCAATACTCAAAATCTGGGGAGGAGTGTCCACGAGAAGAGAAAGGCGGAATGACGCATGCTGGCCTAACAGCACCAAGGCTGAGCACCACGGCCGCTCTGCTTTTACACATAAGAGGCCAAAGCTGGTGGAAAGAGAAGCTGAACCTGACGGGAAGGAATGGGTTAATAACTCAACAGGTCACAGATGAAAGTGTGCACCTGGGGGCTGGACACAGTGGCTCACACCTGTAATCCCAACACTTTGGGAGGCCGAGGCAGGTGGATCACTTGAGGTTAGGAGTTTGAGACCGGCCTGGCCAACATCGTGAACACCTGTCTCTTCTAAAAATACAAAAATGAGCCGGATGTGGTGGTGCATGCTATATCCCAGCTATAATCCCAGCTACTCGGGAGACTGAGGCAGGAGAGTCTCTTGAACTTGGGAGGCAGAGATTGCAGTGAGCTGAGATCACACCACTGTCCTCCAGCCTGAGCGACAGAGCAAGACTCTATCTCAAAAAAAAAAAAAAGATAGAAAGTAGGCACATGGTATCAAGAGGATTGATATGTTTTGATATGTAAGACAGACATATCTTCTGTGGCAATAGGAAAAAGTTACATACCCAATGCATTATTCTTCAGCAATATGCTAGTTGAGTTCATTTACTGGAAATGAAGGGCCTTTTTAAGGTTCAGAATAAATTATATACTCATCCAGTCATTTATTTTCTGTTCATTAAGCTGGTATCAAAGGTATGAAAACTGTACCAGCTATAATACGGATTTTCTTGTTATGTTTCTTCCTCCTTAATCAAAAAGATGTTTCAAAAGCCTTCTAAGTAGCTGATTTTATTTTCTGCAAAGTATATATCGGGATATTGCTAAGGTTAAAATTCTGAGAGTCAATGTACAGGTTTTCTTTGGGAAGTACACAAATTGCTGTCAATTTATATCTTTCTAACTCTTCAAATTTGGGGTTAGTCGTTGGGGTTGGGATTTATAGAGTTTTTCTACATTTCGGGCCTTGGAGCATGAGTGGGCAGTTCTCACATTTGCCATGGTGAGTGTCACGATCTGGTTCCAAAATGGTGCCATTTATAAGGGACAACTAGACCAAACGCCCAACTTGTCCCTCTCTGGCTTTAGGGATTCTCAGCACACGACAGTCTATCTACCGTGGGAAATGGTATTGAAATAGGTCATGCTCTGGATTTGGCGACTACATGACTTTTCCAGCATTTGGATGACCATAAAAGCCAAATCCTCAGCAGCTTTCTCACCTGTAATAGTGTTCTGTGGCTTCTCATTCTGTCTTCACAAAGACAGGAGACAAGACGTTGCTACAAATCATGCTGGTAAGAGTCACACGACTGTGGAACAAACGAGAGACACAGTGTTCTTCAGAATGGAGAGAACAGTCAGGTTCTCAGCCCAACGAGGGTTCTGCTGTCCTTTCCCTTTGTAATGTTAATAGGGGGGTGCCCCCTCACCATCTGAAGTCCAGGTGAGGAGGTGGCTGGCAAGGAAATAGAAAACGATATGCCCCATAGCTTTTAATTCTGGCTGGATAGAAAAGCATTGCTGAAGTTGGAGGCTGCCAGCTTCAATGAGCAGGTTTTTTTTTTTTTTATAATGATAATAATAATAAAACTTGAAAAAACATGAAACTCGGGTACTTGGAAGGCAACAAAGCTCCCAAATGGCAATTATACCTTAATAGATAAGTAAGGTTGCAATGATTGAATATTTGCATGCCTTTAGCATAAAATTCAAGCCAAAGCTATCATTGTTCTCTACCTCGATATCATTAACTAAGTCTTCTACAAAGAGTAGCAAAGCGCTTTCACATAGATTGGAATATCTAATAATTCTCAGTAATTTTAACTCGGAATTTTAAAACTGACTGCTGCTGAGGAATCTTTATTTGCTGAAACGTTTGCTGAAGAAAATAGCGTTTGTTCACTTAATGCTGAAACCGTGTCATAGGTGGCTGGTTTCTCTATCAACTTTATGATAATAAACTCAATATGATCTGCTGATCCCACACTAATTAACTGAACTCTCACGAAAGGACTTCTGCAGAAAGTCTTAAAATAGGGATGTCATTCTTCCTTGCAAGTAAAATATCCGAAAAGTAAAACAACGGTAACACTAATGGATTAACTTTCAAATCCAATGCATAACATCCTGGTACTGTAGCATGGAAATTTCTGAAATTGCTAGATCCCCTCAATTGCTATTTACTGCTACATAACAAACATAGAAACAGGGGCTGATTTTTTTTTTTTTATTAGAGTACTCACTTAAAATTTTTTTTTAACTTTTAAGTTCAGGGGTAGAAGTGCAGGTTTGTTACACAGGTAGACTTGGGTCATGGGGGTTTGTTGTACAGATTATTTCATCACCCAGGTATTAAGCCTAGTATCCATTAGTTATTTTTCCCAATTTGCTCCCCCGCTCCACCCTCCACCCTCTGTTAGACCCTATCGTCTGCTGTTCCCCTCTCTGTGCCCATCTGTTGTCATCATTGTGAGAACATGCAGTATTTGCTTTTCTGTTTCCACAATACTTTGCTATAAGGATAACGGCCTCCAGCTCCACCCATGTTCCTGAAAAGGACATAGTCTTGTTCTTTTTTTATGGTTGCATAGTATTCCATGGTGTATATGTACCACTTTATATACTCAAAGGAATATAAATCATTCTATTATAAAGACCCATGTAGGCATATGTTCACAACACCAAAGACATGGAATCAACCCAAGTGCCCATCAGTGATAGACTGGATAAAGAAAACGTGGCACTTAAAATTTCTTTTCAGGTGATGTCGGTGATCAGAGGAACTATCTCATCCTCAAAGATCCCGGGATATTGTATACAGCTCATTAAGCAATAATGAAATCAGCTTGGGACCTGCCAGGAGCCTGGGCCAGCGTAGATGCTTTGTAATGTTTTACAATATTGAATGGGCACTGAATTGTAAATTTAAAAAATCATGTTTACAATTGGCACTTCCTACAGATACCCTAAGGTGCCTTCCAAGTCTCCCTTGACTTCATGAGCTCCCATCCTCCTTCATATCTAGGCACCTTGCAGTTGCTTAAAGAATGATTTTTAGCACATACTATTATACTATCTGCAATTATCATGCCCATTTGTTAGTTTGCTCACCATCGGTCTTGCCCTCCTAAAGGATGCACAGACAAGAAAGAAGGGAACAGAGAACACGCAGTGAGGGAATGAGGTGGCAGGTACTTGGGTGACAGTTGTGTTGTCCAGGTAAGGTTGACATTCATTCATTCATTCACTTATTCATTTAGTCATTCGACAAATATATATTGAATCCCTACTAAGTGCCAGTCTTGGTAATAGCGCAGGTAGACAGTCAAGGCTCCTGCCCAAGGGAGATTTATCCATTTCCATGTCAGTCAGGAGTCTCAGTTACAATAACAGATATTTACTTCGGCCGATGGAGACAGAAAAAGAGTTTAATTGAAAAGACCCCGAGTAGCTCACAGAATCGCTGTGAACATCTGAGAACCACATTTGGAAAAGGAACCGTGGATCAGCCAGGGTCCCAGTGGAAGCAGACGGCACACTCAGGATAATTTGAAGCAAGTTTAACAAGAGCTTAACAAAAATGTTAGCAGGGTGTGACAAGGGCAGGAACAGCAGGCCCCGTGACCTTAAAGGGCAAGGGGAGAATGTCATTACCAGAATCCAGAGACCAGAGAGAGCCTTGTAGAGGAGGTGGGCGTACCCCGCTGAGACCTCCAATCAGAGGAGCAAGCCACCCAGACGAGACTCTGCAAGGAGGTAGGCTGGGTGCCAGATGCCCCAAATGGAGACATCAAGGAGACAGCAATGGAGACGTCAAGGGAAACCCTGCAAGAATGCAGGCGGGGTAGCAAATACCCCAATTACAGCCTCCTCCTGCCCTCACACCTCCTCTGGCTCTTCTCAATGACCGAGCCCAACCAGAAGCCAACAGGGCAAAGGAATTCATGGCTAAGAAAATGAGACTGACATCACAATGTATGTATCACAATTTTATGCAGATACGTTCTAGGTCCTTCAAAGTTCTCATCTGTTTCCATTAAAGAGAAAGTTATCTATTTTATTGCTCAATATATTCCTGGAAATTCTTCTTTTGGAATTACCTACAGAGTAAAACAATTTATTATTCGTGTAAATTGCGTGGAGACCAGCACTCACTTCAATTTCCTCAACAGCGCCAATCCTTCCTAACTCTGATCCTCCTGTATCTCTGACAAGGCTTTGGGATGAACCAGAACACCCCTGTGCGTGGTGGATAAACAGCTGTGAGGACTTCAACTGTCCTTCCTCTTAGATAGAACATCCACTCATGCTTAATACAATGTGTGATTCACTCATTTTCTCTAGGGGTTTGTTCAAAGTGATTTAATGACAGAGCTGCCCACACGCATGGGATTGTTCCAGTGGCTGAGTCTGGGGAGGATGACCAAGCCCTCCAAAGACAAGAACATGAGCTCCACTGGAGTCTGGCTCTGGTCTTTTGGGGCAGTTCTTACCTATCCATGCTCATGAAGTGGGAGAATGTAGTGAGATACCAAATCATACTATTTCCATGCCCAGGATTTCCTTGTGCAGAGGAATAATGTTTTAAATAGAGGCAGTTTATGTCAGCAGGTGCGTACGGTGGTATTGTGTATAATCAAAATTCATTCTGAAGATGTGCTTAGTTGCACATACGTTTTATTTTGCATGGTTCACTGTGCAGCCTTGTGCAGCAATCACCATGCATGCTAAAATTTGGAAACACTGAGCAAGACTAAAGAAGAGAAAGCTGGGCGCCGTGGCTCACGCCTGTAATCCTAGCACTTTGGGAGGCTGAGGTGGGTGGGTTGCCTGAGCTCAGGAGTTCGAGACCAGCCTGGGCAACACGGTGAAACCCCGTCTCTACTAAAATACAAAAAAATTAGCCGGGTGTGGTAGTGTGCGCCTGTAATCTCAGCTACTCGGGAGGCTGAGGCAGGAGAATCACTTGAATCCAAGAGGCAGAAGTTGCAGTGAGCCGAGATTGCACCGCTAAACTCCAGCCTGGCGACAGAGTGAGACACTGTCTCAAAAAAAAAAAAAAAAAAAAAAAAAAGAAGAGAGAAAAGGGAAGCTGTTACGGAGACCCTTGGTCATTGAAACTCTTCTGCTTTGAGTTAATTATCATATCCCTTACCCGAGGAAGGATGGATAAAAAACTCTAAAGTGTTCCTGTTTGCCTGCAGGCATCTCGGCATTCAATTTTATACTAAGCCCCTAAACTTTAAAGCTCGTTCAAATTTGTTTCTTTTTGAAGACTAAATAGGTTAGAGGAGTTGCATGCAGCATGAGTATTTAAGTTAGTGTTTTTGACAACGTATGGCTCTCAATTAACTCCATGCTCCTCTTCTTTCGGGCCACAAAGTTGGAAAACATTTCCCAGCTTCCTTTGCTGTGGGGTGTGGTCATGTGTCTAAGAATGGAATAGGAGGGAATAATGTGTCCTATTTCAGGACCAGGGCCTTTCAGAGAGCAAGTGAGTCTACTCCATGTTCTTTTTCTACTTCTGCTAGTTGGACCGTGGATGCAGTGACCCCTTGATCATCAGGCAACAATGAGGTATTGTGGGAAGGCAGAAACACAAGGTGGAAGGAACCTAGGCTCTTGAATCACCCTGTGGATGGGAGTTCCTTGGTAACTGGAACACCCACCCTATACTTTTATGAAAAATAAACCCCTATTGTGTTTGAGACATTGCATTTGGGGACTTACTTGTTAGAGCAGTTTGGTTTAGCCTAGCTAAAATATGTATATTCAAATCATATACATGTTCAATAATAATTTGTGTATCTGGATCTACATGAGTAGTTAAGATCCTTTCTGGCTTTTATATTTCAAATTCACAAAACCTTAGAAATGCAGGATTGTTTAAAATAAAACCAAAAGATGGAGCTGGGACATAAACATACCATCTCAGCCCAATAAAGAAGGAGGAATAATATAGGCTGTGGGCAAAATGTTTTGTCTAAAAGCAGAGGATTGGGTGTGGGCTTTGCTCCTCCCACCTGAGGTGGAGGAGCAATTTCCTTGGGTGTTGGATAATAAAAGAGAGAAGATGAGTTTTGCTCCTCAAGGTTCCTGGTGAAACTTCTTCCTAAGTGGGAAGCAGCAAGAATCCAGATCACTAGCTGGTGGTGAAGCCAGGAAGATAAGACCCAGAATTGTCTCTCAGAAAGATTCTACATTCTGGCAATCATTAAAAAGTCAGGAAACAACAGGTGCTGAGAGGATGTGGAGAAATAGGAACGCTTTTACACTGTTGGTGGGACTGTAAACTAGTTCGACCATTGTGGAAGTCAGTGTGGCGATTCCTCAGGGATCTAGAACAAGAAATACCATTTGACCCAGCCATCCCATTACTGGGTATATACCCAAAGGATTATAAATCATGCTGCTATAAAGTCACATGCACACGTATGTTTATAGCGGCACTATTCACAATAGCAAAGACTTGGAACCAACCTAAATGTCCAACAACGATAGACTGGATTAAGAAAATGTGGCACATATACGCCATGGAATACTATGCAGCCATAAAAAAGGATGAGTTCATGTCCTTTGTAGGGACATGGATGAAGCTGGAAACCATCATTCTCAGGAAACTATCGCAAGGACAAAAAAACCAAACACCGCAAGTTCTCACTCATAGGTGGGAATTGAACAATGATAACACATGGACACAGGAAGGGGAACATCACACACTGGGGACTGTTGTGGGGTGGGGGGAGGGGGAGGGATAGCATTAGGAGATATACCCAATGCTAAATGACGAGTTAATGGGTGCAGCACACCAACATGGCACATGTATACATATGTAACAAACCTGCATGTTGTGCACATGTACCCTAAAACGTAAAGTAAAATAATAATAATAAAATAAAATAAATAAAAATAAAAAATAATGTGATAATTGAAAAAAAAAAAGATTCTACATTCCTCAGTATTGCCTAGAAACTACCAGAAAGCCTTGAATCATGTGGCCAAATGACTGAGACAGTGGTCGTCCAGTAGCTAAATGGCAGACAACTTGAGGACTAGATGTGCGCACCCCACCCAAAGCCTGAGCACTATGAGCTCATTCACTTCAACCTTTTACATGACCTCAGAAGCAAACACAAAGAGACTGAGGTTAATTTCCAGCCAACCCATAGAAAATAGCGTCTTAGAAAAGTAATTAAGTTGAGTTACAGAAAAACAAATAAATAAATATTTCTTGATCAACTGTGTCTGTCCACTGGGCTTTATACCTACTATTTCTGACACTGAGCAAAGGGGATACCTTAGGCTTACCAGCCAGCAGTGAGTTTTCTCCTCCATGTCTCAACTGAACTCAGCATCTTGCAAAAGAAGCATAGGTTCAGTTGGATCATTTCTGGTGCTATCTGGGGGCTGCCTTTCTCTTTTCTTTTCTTTTGTGGCATGGGGAGGGACCTACTTTCATGTAAACTTAAATATTCCTAACTCAGTGGATGCACTTCCAGGGGAGACTGGCTCTGGTGAGTCCTTCCACGGGAATTAACATGGGGAGAAATACAGGCACAGTAGCAAAAAATTAACTTCCTACCAAATCCTTTTGAATCTAAAAAGCTATCTGAAAAGAACTGGAAGTCAGTGAACAACGTAAAAGCCCAAAAGGAAAAAGGAAACCTTTCTGATTCAGCAGTGACCAGGCATAAGGATGCTGACTTCCTTGGATAAAGCAAAAACGGACTTGGTGTATCAATAGAACCAACGTCTTAATTTACTGTGGGAGATGCAGGGCCCAAGATGCCTAAATACACGTATCCTCTAGCCAGGACTTTCTCCACATTCGGGGAGTTATGGACAACCAAAAAAATCAGAAAATTGAAAGAATACATCGGAATCAAAATAGGAGAAAAGATGTGTAGTGTTCCCAGAGCAAAGAAAACATAAATGTTTGAGGTGATGGACATCCCGATTACTCTGATTTGATCATTACACATTGTAAACCAGTATCAATATATCACATGCGTGCCCAAATATGTGCAACTATTATATATCCACACAAAAATTAAAAAGGATTTATAAAACGGTGTCTGTGCTTCTTAGCGTCCTTGAGAAGTGCAGAGTGGTTAAGCAGGAGGTTCAAGTGACTTGGTTCAATCCCAGCTCTGTCACTTAGTAGGACTTGCTCAAGTTATTTAATCCCTCTAAGCCTCAGATCCCTCAGTAATCAAATGGGGATAAATATGAGTATCTAAATTATAGATTTGGGAGAGTATTAAATGAGATTATGTCTGTAAAGAGCTTAACGCCGTGCTTTGGGACATGCTAGGACTCAGTGAATGTTAGGGGGATTTGCTTATCCTTAGAGGGGTACATCTGTCGTGGAGACGGGTCTCTACTGACCACATCCAGCACAGGCACCGCCAAGGCACACTTCTTTGTTCCTCCTTTCTCATTTCCCCCCATAGCCTCATCCTCTTCTGATTTATATGATATTTCTTTACAGATGTTAGCCAGGTTGCATTCCAGTCTTCCTGGCCTTGAATTTTCATCTCACCCTAGGCTGTCCATATGTAGTAGTTAGGTGGTATGATTTGGATCTGTGTCCCCAACCAAATCTCATGTCAAGTTGTAATCCCCAGAGTTGGAGGTAGAGCCTGGTGGGAGGTGATTGGATCGTGGGGGTGGATCCTTCACAAACGGTTTAGCACTGTCCCTTTGGTGCTGTTCTCACGATAGAGTTCTCACAAAATCTGGTTGTTTAAAAGTGTGTGGCACCTCCCCCGCTCTCTCTTCCTCCTGCTCCAGCCATGTGAGACGTGTCTGGTCCCCCTTCACCTTCCACCGCGACTGCATGATTCTAAGTTTCCTGGGGTCTCCCCAGAAACAGAAGCCACTGTGCTTCCTGTAAAGCCTGAAGAACGGTGAGCCAATTAAATATCTTTTCTTTATAATTATGCAGCCTCAGCCATTTCTTTATAGTAGTGTGAGAATGGACTAATACATCAGGACTGTTTTTGGGGCAAGACACAGAACACCCAGCTCAAGCTTAAACCGACAAGAGAGTTGATTATTTCCTTTTACTGATGTGTTCACTCAAGGTTTGACCCAGTGGCTGAAGCTGGTGCCCCAGGAGGAATCTGATTTCTCTTCCTCTCATGACTGTGCCTTCTACAGTGTCAGCTTTATATAGTTGCAAATTCAGAAAATAAAAATATAAGATGGCCAGTTGAATTTCAGATGAATAATAAATAATTTTAATGCAATTATGTTCTAAAACTACATGGGACATTTTGCATGGTACATAAAATATTTTGTTTATCTGTGTTTATACCTGGCAATCTTATGACTTTACGTGTCCTCAACCTTCACCTGTCCCTCACTCCACCCCCAAACCCATCCCATCTCTGTTCTACAGATTCAGCACTCAGCACTCTTGATAGTAAAACAGCTACAGCATTTCCAGATTCTACATTTTCAAACAACACACTTGGAGAGAGAGGGGGAAAAACAGAGGAAGAGGGTTCTCTTTTACAGAAGCATCAGGAGATATCTCCTTATCGCTCATTGACTATCATTGAGGTAAACACTATTCAAGAACCAATTGCTATGTCCTTGGGGAGGGTGGAGTGGCTTAGATCAGTCCAGGACCACCTCTGCTGTGGGCAGCGAGTTAATACCACCAAACCACATGGCTGGTGAAAGAAAGGAAGAAGTGCTATTCCATAAGGAGAGAGATGGGTGTGGGTTTCAAACAAAACATGTCAGGGGCTTGACTTGTACTACTGATTGATTGATTTATTGAGACAGAGTCTCACTCTGTCCCCCAGACTGGAGTGCAGTGGTGCAATCTCAGCTCACTGCAACCTCCGCCTCTGGGGTTCAAGCGATTCTCCTGCCTCAGCCACTTAGCACATACGATTATACTATCTGCAATCATCATGTCCATTTGTTAGTTTGCTCACCATCTGTCTTGCCCTCCTAAAGGATGCACAGACAAGAAGGGAGCAGAGGACACGCAGTGGCGGAATGACATGGTGGGCACTTGAGTGATATAGTTGTGTTGTCTAGGTAAGGTTGCCGTGTGACATAGCTGTAGCTAATTCTGGGTATCCAGAGTAAAATCCATTTATTTATTTATTTAGAAACAGAGTCTTGCTCTGTTGCCCAGGCTGGAGTGCAGTGGCACAATCTCGGCTCATGGCAACCTCCGCCTCCCAGCATTCAAGTGATTCTCCTGCCTCAGCCTCCCTAGTAGCTGGGATTACAGGATCACGCCACCACACCCAGGTAGTTTTTGTATTTTTAGTAGAGATGGAGTTTCGCGATGTTGGCTAGGCTGGTCTTGAACTCCTGACCTCAGGTGATCCTCTTGCCTCAGCCTCCCAAAGTGCTGGGATTACAGGCGTGCACCATCACGTCTAGCTAATTTTTGTATTTTTAGTAGAGACGGGGTTTCACTGTGTTGGCCAGGCTGGTCTCAAACAGGATCTTGACCTCAGGTGATCCACCCGCTTTGACCTCCCAAAGGGCTGGGATTGCAGGCGTGAGCCACCACGCCCGGCCTGTTTATATTGTTTAATTCTCAACAGGAATTTTAGCTTTGAGCCTTATTGAGATCCCAGGTACCATAAAAAAGCAATTTCTTGAGCAGATTCTTCAAGAGCCCACTCTGATGTTTTAGCAGCTGGCCAGAGAGCTATGGTGTGGCACATGGCATCAGACTTTCCCTGGTCTATCCGAGTGAGGTATATTAGTCCACACACAACATATCATGGGTGTCTGAGAAGAAGGGTGTCTCCCAGAGAAATAAACTCAAGGTAAACTGAGCTGGCCAGTGGCAGATGAGTCAATTGATCATGGAAGTGGGAAGCATTTTTATGGGCATCCAGGCATCCCCTGTTTCTTTCTTTTTTTTTTTTTTTTTTTTGAGATAGAGTCTCACTCTGTCGCCCAGGCAGGAATGCAGTGGCACGATCTCGGCTCACTGCAAGCTCTGCCTCCCGGGTTCACGCCATTCTCCTGCCTTAGCCTCCCGAGTAGCTGGGACTACAGGCGCCCGCCACCACGACCGGCTAATTTCTTTTTGTATTTTTAGTAGAGATGGGGTTTCACCATGTTAGCCAGGATGGTCTCAATCTCCTGACCTCGTGATCTGCCCGCCTCGGCCTCCCAAAGTGCTGGGATTACAGGCGTGAGCCACTGTGCCCGGCCCATCCCCTGGTTTTGACAATGATTTGCCTTTCTTTCGCTCAGGGCACCTGGATTTTCAGCTGAAGAAATACATCCCCTTCCCTTCTCAGTCTAGTCCAAGTGTGAGTGTGTGACTCAGTCCTGGCCAGTCAGGGCTTTGCATTCTTCTAGATGCAGGGGTGGATCTGGGGGTGGATATGCTACCCATGCAGATGTAGGGAAACACAAGAATTTCACTAGGGCTTCCAGGAAATGCCACTGCAGTGAATGTAGGAAGGTGTGAGCTTGACCTACAGAAGGCATCCCAATACCACGTGGGGAGATGCTGTCTGGGCATGGAGATAACTCTGAGAAAGGGAGGAATAGCAGACCCTAGTGACATTGCTTGAGCTCCTGGGTCCAGCAACACCTGGTGTCAGAGGCTCCCCGGACAGTACCACTGCATGTTAATTTACATGAGATGTAGAATCACAGAAGCCTTTTTTGCTCAAGCCATTCTGGGTTGGGTTATCTATCTCTTGCAACTAAACTCATGCAACAATTAAAAGAGGGATGCACAATCCCACCACCTTCCGTCTAAACAGGACCCGTTTGCTCATAAAACTAGACACATGTGCTGGAATTATTTGACTCTAATCCTTTCCGGCTGGCTGATCTTGGGCAAGTTATTTAAATGCCCTGAACTTCATTACCCTCATTTGTAAAGCTGGGCTGGTTCCCACTTCATTTACAGGGTTGTTTCAAGGATTCAAGAAGATAATCTATGTATAGCAGATAGTACATATATAAATATATAAGGCATAGAACATGCTAGCAAAGATAATTATTATTATTATAATCATCATTATCAATAGTAATTGGAGCATCAAGCACACATATTTGTGGAATGATACTATTCTTGATGTTTTCTGCAAAAATAGAAACGTTCCAGTCTATGCCTAGAAGTTGCTTATCCTCAAATTGAGAAATAAATCACTCATAATATACATTGGCTTGTGAACACCCATTGGGAGAAATATCTTTTGAGTGGTGAAGTTATGTGACTGTCCTAAATTAATTCAAATTGACATCTGTGAAGGGAAGGGTAACGACCCAGGCCATGTGTTCACTTTTTACCTTTGTGCCAAAAGACAGGCATTTTGCTAGTCAGTCACGTAATATGTGTGGCTGGCTTTGCATGCAGTCTTTTGTTCATTCTTTCATTTTCTCATGTAATATCATTGTGTACCAAGCACGGTGCTAGGCTTGAAGGGTACTGGACATGGATCACCTACTTTTAAGGAACTTATAGTGAGATAAGAGGACTGAAAATAAGCAAACAAATAAATCTGCTAGATGAATTCAAATAATAATACATGCTGTAAAATAAACAAAAAGAAAAGGTGGGCGATGTGTGCCTTTAGTCCAGCTTCTTAGAAGCCTGGTCTGAGGTGGGGATTTGGGTGTGCATGAGTCATTGAGGGAACACTGTCAGGAAACAATTATAAGGATGTGAGATAATGAGGTAAGCCAGGATGTGTCTTGGGTAGAGTCTAGCCGTGGCTGAGCATTAGGGCTTCTGGAGCATTAACCATACAGCAGGGTTGTAGACACTCCAGGGCCTCTTATCTAGTCATCACCTTTCAGCCGCCCTCAGTAAGGCCATTTCCTTCATGGTTAGGTGGCTCCTGAACATTGCGAGTCATTTCCCAGAGAAGGTGGGCAGCTGTGTGCCCTTAACAGCCAACACTCACTGCAGGAGGATCTAGGCTGAGCATCAGCAGTATCCATACGGTGAGTGTTGGAAGCTCATCTGGTAATGGTCAGCATCCTTGCCTGGGTGACATCTGAGCTGTTGCCTGAAGGAGAAGAACCAGGCATGAGCAAACCTGGGAGAACTTGTTCCAGGCAAGGGAGGAACCCACTGGTTACTGCAAAAGCCCTAAAGTATAAATAAGCTTGGTATGTTAGGAAAAAAAATGATCAAGGTTGGAGCACAGTGAAGTGCAGAAGATGAAGTTGGAAAGGGAGGCAGGATCCAGACCGTATCTTCCCTGTAGTGCTGGGAGTGTGTTTTTAATCTTAGTGGCAGGTTTAGGCATGAAAGTTCATAACCTATCTTACATATTTAAGGAGAACAGATGGTAATTAGAGTCAGGGATGGAGCTGGGAGCGAGGTAGGAGGCTCTTGCAATGGCCCAGGTGTAAAATGGAGGTCATACAGACTAAATTGGCAGCTGTGAAGACAGGAGGTGGAGAAGTGGATAGATTTGGGAACCATTTTAGAAGAAAAGCTAATGTGACTTGAAAAGTCACATTATTTAGGAGCAAAGCTAATGTGACATTTGTGTGTGAGGGATCAGAGAAGAGTTCAAGTTGACTTCTTGTAATTTGACTTGAGCAATGGGGCTGAGGTTGGCGCAATTTACTGAGATGGGAAAGATGAGGGAAAGAGCCAAATTGGGAAGAACTGGAACCAAGTGTTTTCATTTGGCCATGCTAAGTTTGAGATGTGTTAGACCATTAGACATCCTTAAGGAACTATCAGATAGGCAGTTGAGCCTGAAATGAGTCTGAAAGTCATGGGAAAGTTTGTGCTGGAGATAACATTTGGGAGTTAAAGCTTCGAAATGAAAGAGGAAAGAGTCTACCACAGAGGCTTGGGACACTCTAAATTTGGGGGGTTGAGAAGAGATAGCCAAGGAGACTAGGAAGTAGTCCTTGAGGTAGGAAACAGCAAGCGAGTAGGGTGATACAGAAACTGAGAGAACATAGTATGTCTGACAGATGAGGGAGGAACCACTGGATAATATGCCCCTGAGAGGTGGGCTGAAATGAACAAAGAGGAGCAACCACTTCCTTCGGCACCCTGGACAGCATTGGTGGCCATGAGAAGGGTGGCTTCAATCAAGTGGCTGGGGTGACAACTAGCCCAGACTGCACAGAGAAGAACATGAGAGCTGAACAAGTGACTAGAAGCTTGTTTTAAAATGTTCACAGGAAAATGGCTGTAGCTCAAAGAAGGAGGGATCTAAGGAGATTTAATTTTTATTTTTTTAATTTCAACAGTTTTTTAGGGTACAGGTGGTTTTTGGTTACATGGATAAGTTCTTTAGTGGTGATTTCTGAAACTTTAGTGCATTTTCACTGGAGAAGTGCACAGTGTACCCAATATGTAGTGTTTGTCTCTCACCCCACTCTCAACCTTTCCCTGTGAGTTCCCAAAGTTCATTTTATCATTCTTATGCCTTTGCATCCTCGTAGCTTTAACTCTCACTTATAAGAGAGAACATATGATATTTGGTTTTCCATTTCTGAGCTACTTCACTTAGAATAATGGCCTCCAGCTCCATCTAAGTTGCTGGAAAAGACATTGTATCATTCATTTTTATGGCTGAATAGTATTCAATGGTGTATATACACCACATTTTCTTTATCCACTTGGTTGCTGGGCACTGAGGTTAGTTCCATATCTTTGCAATTGCAAAATGTGCTGTTATAAACATGCATATGCATCTATCTTTTTCTTATAATGCCTTCTTTTCCTTTTGGTGGATACCCAAGAGTGGGATTGCTGGATCAAATGGTAGGTCTACTTTTAGTTCTTTAAGGAATCTCCACACTGTTTTCCATAGTGGTTGTGCTAACTTACATTCCCACCAGCAGTGTAAAAGGGTTCTAAGTGAGATTTTTTTAAAAGGGCTGTTTATTAGTTTGCTAGGGCTACCATAACAAATACCATAGATTGTGATGCAGTTTGGCTGTGTCCCCACCCAAATCTCATCTTGAATTGTAGCTCCCATAATCCTCACATGTCATGGGAGGGACCTGGTGGGAAGTAATTGAATCATGGGGGTGGGTTTCCCTGTGCTGTTCTTGTGACAGTGAATAAGTCTCATGAGGTCTAATGGTTTTATAAAGGGCAATTCATTTCCCTGCACATGCTCTCTTGCCTGCTGCCATGTAAGATGTGCCTTTGCTCCTCATTTGCCCTCCGCCATGATTGTGAGGCCTCCCCAGCCATGTGGAACTGTGAGTCCACTAAACATCTTTTCCTTTATAAATTCCTGAGTCTTGGCCATTTCTTTACAGCAGTATGAAAATGGACTAATACAGACTGGATGATTTGAACAACAGAAATTTATTTTCTCCTAGTTCCAGAGGTTGGAACTTCAAGATCAAGGTGCTATCAGTGTTTCTTTCCTGTGAGGCCTCTCTCCTTGGCTTGCAGATGGCCTTGTCCCTGTGCCTTTGCAAGGCCTTCTCTCTGTGTGTGTCTGTGTCCTAATCTCTGCTTACGAGGACACCAAGCATATTGGATTAGGGCATGCCAGTATGACCTCATTTAAGTTTAATTACCTCATTAAAGTCCCTATGTCCAAATACAGTCACGTTCTGAAGTCCTGAAGGGTAGTATTTTAACATAATGAATTTGGAGGGGAGACCCATTTTCAGCCCATAACAGGATACTAAAACATATTTTCTTGACAATAAAAAGGGATAAATCGATGATTCAGGAGAGAGGGAGAAATGTCAAGTGGAGGCATCATTGAGAGAGTATGGGCTTGGGGGCACCTACAGAGGGATGGGTCTTTTTTCTGGAAACCCCTGGCTGAAAATTTGCATCCAGAGCCTGCCCTTGGATGCCCCTGCCTGTGATGGTTTCTTGTGTTCTATTTGTAAAGGGATGCACCGATAAAGCAGAATATACGTCAGTTAATTTCTTATGGTAATACCCTTGATCAAGGCAAAGGACCGTAATTGAATAAGCAATTATCTTTGAAAATATTAGTGCACAGAAAAGCATAACAAATGAATTTGCTAATTATTCTTCCCTGCCAAAAACATCAGCTGATTTAGTCTTTAGTAGTAACATTATAACCCTCATAGATAGATCATTAGCTTGCTAGGTACCTACTGAGTTTTAGGCACTTTTAAGGAATAGGCAGATGTCCCAAACTCAAGTTTTTACAGGGCTGGGAGGGGAGCATGGATGAGGACAGGCAGCCAGGTAAGAGCTGTGGGACTCTGGAGAGCACGTGCCATGTCTGAAGCAACAGCAGATGTTGTCAAGGAAAAGGTGGGCTCATGGCTGTCTGAGTGGTCTCGCAGGAAATGCCACAAATCTGTATTTTTATGCATAATCTCTTATGTTTTGAATACTGATGAGTAATTCCAACTTTTAAAACAAGGCAACATGGCCCAAGTAAGATGAGACTGTCTCATTGTTGTGACCCTAGAGTCTCCAGTTTGTAATCTCAGACACTGGGTCTTTATTGCTACTTTCAGCAGCCTGCAATCTATAAGAAGGAGAGTGGTGTGGTCAGAAAGTCTATGCAAGAGGTGCTCAGAATATAGGACAAAGGATAACAACAACTCATAGTTCAGTTCTAGATATCTTTTCCAGAACACTCCTACCCTCCCCTACCCTGTTCAATGACCAGGAGGCTGACAGCATGAACCATCAACGGCACCCTTGGTCTCTGGCTTCTGGTTGGGGTTGGGGTTGGCCAATGGGGAGCTCCAACAATAGAGCAGACAGGAATGAGAAAGTCGCGTCTGAGAACGTATTCTCCATTTCCCTGAGCACTTACTCTCTGCAGGGTTACCGTGGGCTGGCTGTGTCCTTTGTCTAAAGGCCAGAGCTCCCCTCCAGTGGTGCACTTCACAGAGCAATCTCTCTGGGTCAGAGCATCCTTTACCTTTGCTTCTTCAGACCTCACGGTGGGAAGTCTGCTTGCTGTTCCTAATCCTGCTGCATAACATTCTGCTTTGTTGTGTCCTGATATTCCTTTACTATACTCTGTTCAAATGACCCAACTTGGGTATCTTTTGGTTTTGTTTTCTGGTAGGATCCAGAAAGAACTTGGACAATAAGGTTGACAATGTTCTAAGTGCCTAGCTTACTTCACCAAATGCTATCTTATCTCTATTTTGCAGAAAGTAATACTGAAGTATAAAGAAGGCAAAGAGTTTGCCCAAGATCACCCAAATGTAAGAGGTGGAGCTGAGATTTAAACCCAGGCAATCCAGCTCTAACTTCTGTGCTCTTGACCATATATGGAGGGAAGTTAGGGAGAGAAAGATCTAAGGAGGCCACAGTGATCAGGAGGACCTTAAAGATTAAGAGAAGATCTAAATCGCATCTTGAAGGATGGGCATATAGAGAGGGAGGGAGGAAGGGAGAAGGGAGGAAGAGCAGATGCCATGAGCAGAGGAAGGCATTTTGGGGATGTGTGGCTACTGAGGCACTTGTGCTTCCAAAGGATTAAAATATACATCCCAAAGTAGAGGAAAAGAAAGCAGAAGGTGAGTAGCAAGCAGAAAGACACCTGCAGTCAGGGTTCTTCAGAATGGAAAGGAAGTGTCTGAATGTGAGATGGGAAGTGTATTCAGTACTGTGTGAGCTGCAAGTGACAGAAAATCAATCAAAAATAGATGAAGCAAGAGAAAAAAGGGACTTGGTTCCTGTAACTGAAGATAGCGGGAAGATGCAGCTTCAAGGATGTTGGCATCCATGGCCAAGGTAAGGTCATCAGGCTCCGTACTCTGTCTCTTGACTGAGTGCTTTCTTCAGTGCTGGCCGTCACCTGCAGGCAGCCCCATACTTCAGGTGGACATCATCCTTAAGAACTTTTCTGGTAGGGCAAGATGGCTCATGCCTCTAATCCCAGCACTTTGGAAGGCCAAGGCAGGTGGATCGCTTGAGGCCAGGAGTTCGAGACCAGCCTGGGCAACATGGCAAAACCCAGTCTTTATAAAAAATACAAAAATTAGCTGGGCATGGTAACACGAGCCTGTAGTCCCACCCACTTGGGAGGCTGATGCGGGAGGATTGCTTGAGCCTGGGAGGTGGAGGTTGCAGTGAGCAGAGATTGTGCCACTGCACTCCAGCCTGGGCGACAGAGCGAAATCCTGTCTCAAAAAAAAAGAAATCCTCCCCCAAAACCAGTACATTTTGGCGTGGATGCTGTGATCAGGGAACACTTCTACACTGCTGGTGGGAATGTAAACTAGTGCAGCCACTAAGGAAACAGTGTGGAGATTCCTTAAAGAACTAAAAGCAGAACTACCATTTGATCCAGCAAACCCACTACTGAGTATCTACCCCGAGGAAAATAAGTCATTATCTGAAAATGATACTTGTACATGAATGTTTATAGCACCATAATCCACAATTGCAAAATCGTGGAACCAACCCAAATGCCCATCAATCAATGAGTGGATAAAGAAATTGTGGTATATATATGATGGAATACTACTCAGCCATGAAAAGGAACGAATTAACAGCATTTGCAGTGAGCTGGATGAGACTGGAGACTATTATTCTAAGTGAAGTAACTCAGGAATGAAAAACCAAACATTGTATGTTCTCACTGATATGTGGGAGCTAAGCTATAAGGACACAAAGACATAAGAATGATACAATGGACTTTGGGAACTTGGGGGTAAGAGTGAGAAGGGGGTGAGGAATAAAAGACTACAGATATGGTGCAGTGTATGCTGCTTGGGTGATGGGTGCACCAAAATCTCACAAATCACCACTAAAGACTTACTCATGTAACCAAGGACCACCTGTACCCCAATAACTTATGGAAAAAAAAATCCTCCAAAACAAAACTTTTCTTTCATAATGGTTCCTACAAAATCCAGGAAGGACCTCTGAGCTGCCAGGTGGGTCACACACTCACCTAGGGGACAATCATGATGGCCAAAGGGATGTCAGGCTTCCATGGACCAGCCAGGGTCATGTGACACACTGGAGCTGGGAAACAGAGTTACTCCCATCAGAACCATGTAGACTGAGGGTGGGAGTAGCCTGAGTCAATAAAGAAAAAGTGGTTTGAATGCTAGGAAGCTAAAAGAACAAATGTCCAGTGTTGTGGTAGATGGGGGAGCCAAGGTGGCTCTTGAAAATGGGCAAAATGTGGGGCGGATCTCCTGGGGAAATGTGATTTTGGTCCGAATTTGGCACCTAGAACTATAAGCATGGTAAGTAATCCACCACACCCTCTGAAAGAACTGTCTGCACTTCCTCACCCACACCCTCTCCATTGCCCTGGGGGTAAGCCCCGGTGTCCCTCCCGGCCCTCATGGCTGCGCACGGAGGGTCCTGCCGTTCGGGCTCCCCATGGCTTCTGTGATGCCACTCTCCTCTTCTCCCCTCATGTCTTTCAACTCCAGCTGTCCTGGCCTGCTTGGGGCTCCTCAACACCCTCCCACTTCAGGGCTTTTGCGGTTGCTACACTTTCTGCTTGTAGTGCTCTTTCCCCAGAAATCCACATGCTCAGTCCCTCTCTTCCTTCACATGTCATGTTCTCAGCCAGGTCTTCTCAAACCAGCCTAACCCAAATTTCTACCTCCTCCCCTCCCAGGCACAGCTGTCCCTCTTACAATCTTTCTCTTCTACTTTGTAGCACACATCCCTCACAGGACTCATCTCATTCATGATCTCTTCCCAAGTATAATATAAGCACTGCAATGGGGGACCTTTGTCTGTTACATTTACTGCCTGGCTTGGCATGTAGTAGGTGCCCAATAAATAGGTGCACTGAGTGACTGAATGAACTCCCTTTTCAATCTGCTCTGAGAGATTTTTGTCTTGGCTCCTCTATGTAGACTTCTCTTGTGAAGGCCACTGATGATGGCCTTTGTGCTGCCATATTGGATGGTCATTTCAGTACTCGTATCTTTACTGACCAAGAAGCAGCATTAGGCATAGATGTCTCCTGCCTCCTTGAAATATGTTCTTGGCTTAGCTAATGGATGTCCTACGGCCACACTGGGGCTCCTCTCTCAGCCTCCTTGGCTCGCTCCTCCTCCTGTGCACAGCCTGTCAGGGGCTGGGTACCTGTGGATCAGGACTTGGCTCTTTCCTTCTATCCCTCTCCTTTCCTTTCTCCTCTTCCCTCCTCTCCCCTTCCTTTCTCTTCTCTCCTCTTCTCTTCTCCTGTTCTGCCCTTCCCCTCTCTTCCCTTTCTTTTCTCACCTCCACTTCCCCTCCTCTTCGCTCCTTCTCTCCCCTCTTTTTTCCTTTCCCTTTCTCTTATCTCCTCTCCCCTCCCCTCTCCTCTCTATCCTTCCCTTCCTCTCCTTTCCTCTTCATTTTCTCTTCTTCCCCTTTTTCCCCTCCCCTCCCTTCCCTTTCTCTCCTCTCCTCTCTCTGTGCCCTCTCACCAGTGACCTCATCCAGTTTACCAGCATTAAACAGGACCACTCTGCCAATGAGACCAACGTCTGTTATCTCCTATCTCAACTTTTCAGAGTTCTTATCAGCCAACCTCCTACATCCAATCCATTGCCCAACATTAAGATTGACCTCCTAAATGCACCACAGATCCCTCTACTCCCTCTGTCTCTGCTATCACCACCCAAATTAAAAGAATCATCACATCTCACCTGGGTAAGCAAATGTCTCCAAACAGAGCTCTACCTCCTCTCACTCTTGGACATCCCAGCCCCAGTCTGTTTTTTACCCAGCACCAGAATGACCTTTAGATGGTTACCACTCCCTGGCAAAAAGTCCTCCAGCTGCTTCTGATCACACCTTGGGATCAAACGAAGGTCCTAGCAAGCCCCACAATCAAGCCCCTTCCTAAGTCTCTGGGCTGGTGCCATTTCATCCCTTCTCTTCCTCATTATACTCCAGCCACACTGGCCTTCTTTTATTCTTTGAACAGGCTCATCTGGTCCCTGTTGAGGGTTTTTTTTCTTTTTCTTTTTCAGGCAGGAGAAAGAAATAAAGGGTATTCAATTAGGAAAAGAGGAAGTCAAATTGTCCCTGTTTGCAGATGACATGATTATATATTTAGAAAACCCCATCGTCTCAGCCCAAAATCTCCTTAAGCTGATAGGCAACTTCGGCAAAGTCTCAGGATACAAAATCAATGTGCGAAAATCACAAGCATTCTCACACACCAATAACAAACAAACAGAGAGCCAAATCATGAATGAACTCCCATTCACAATTGCTTCAAAGAGAATAAAATACCTAGGAATCCAACTTACAAGGGATGTGAAGGACCTCTTCAAGGAGAACTACAAACCACTGCTCAATGAAATAAGAGGACACAAACAAATGGAAGAACATTCCATGCTCATGGATAGTAAGAATCAATATAGTGAAAATGGTCATACTGCCCAAGGTCATTTATAGATTCGGTGCCATCCCTATCAAGCTACCAATGACTTTCTTCACAGAATTGGAAAAAGCTACTTTAAAGTTCATATGGAACCAAAAAAAGAGCCCGCATTGCCAAGTCAATCCTAAGTCAAAAGAACAAAGCCAGAGGCATCATGCTACCTGACTTCAAACTACACTACAAGGCTACAGTAATCAAAACAGCATGGTACTGGTACCAAAACAGAGATATAGATCAATGGAACAGAACAGAGCCCTCAGAAATAATGCTGCATATCTACAACTATCTGATCTTTGAAGAACCTGACAAAAACAAGCAATGGGGAAAGGATTCCCTATTTAATAAATGGTGCTGGGAAAACTAGCTAGCCATATGTAGAAAGCTGAAACTGGATCCCTTCCTTACACCTTATACAAAAATCAATTCAAGATGGATTAAAGACTTACATGTTAGACCTAAAACCATAAAAACCCTAGAAGAAAACCTAGGCAATACCATTCAGGACATAGGCATGGGCAAGGACTTCAAGTCTAAAACACCAAAAGCAATGGCAACCAAAGCCAAAATTGACAAATGGGATCTAATTAAACTGAAGAGCTTCTGCACAGCAAAAGAAACCACCATCAGAGTGAACAGGCAACCTAGAGAATGGGAGAAAATTTTTGCAACCTACTCATCTGACAAAGGGCTAATATCCAGAATCTACAAAGAACTCAAACAAATTTACAAGAAAAAAACAAACAACCCCATCAAAAAATGGGCGAAGGACATGAACAGACACTTCTCAAAAGAAGACATTTATGCAGCCAAAAAACACATGAAAAAATGCTCATGATCACTGGCCATCAGAGAAATGCAAATGAAAATCACAATGAGATACCATCTCACACCAGTTAGAATGGCAATCATTAAAAAGTCAGGAAACAACAGGTGCTGGAGAGGATGTGGAGAAATAGGAACACTGTTACACTGTTGGTGGGAGTGTAAACTAGTTCAACCATTGTGGAAGACAGTGTGGCGATTCCTCAAGGATCTAGAACCCAGACATCCCATTACTGGGTATATACCCAAAGGATTATAAACCATGCCTCTATAAAGACACATGCACACATATGTTTATTGGGGCACTATTCACAATAGCAATGACTTGGAAGCAACCCAAATGTCCAACAATGAGAGACTGGATTAAGAAAATGTGGCACATATACACCATGGAATACTATGCAGCCATAAAAAAAGGATGAGTTCATGTTCTTTGTAGGGACATGGATGAAGCTGAAAACCAGCATTCTCAGCAAACTATCGCAAGGACAAAAAACCAAACACTGCATGTTCTCACTCATAGGTGGGAATTGAACAGTGAGAACACATGGACATAGGAAGGGGAACATCACACACCGGGGCCTGTTGTGGGGTGGGGGGAGGGGGGAGGGATAGCATTAGGAGATATACCTAATGCTAAATGACGAGTTAATGGGTGCAGCACACCAACATGGCACATGTGTACATATGTAACAGACCTGCACGTTGTGCACATGTCCCCTAGAACTTAAAGTATAATAAATTTCTTCCCTCTTTTTTTTATTCTGCATTCTGATCTCTGTGTCACTGTTTCTTTCTTTTTACTTGGATCTCAGCTTGTATAGTGATTTTTTAGAGAAAACCTCCAGGCCACCCAGTCTAAGTTGGTCCTTTCTATCCCATTACCTGATGGTATTTTTTGCACAGTACTTTTTCTGATACTTTTCCTCCCTCCCTTCCTCCCTTCCCCTTTGCCTTCTCCTTTCCCTTCCCCTTCCCTTCCTTCTTCCTTCCTTCCATCTCCCCTGTTAGATTCCTAGTTACATGAAAGCAGGACTTTTGCTAGCCCTGTCTCAACACTCTGGCTTAGAATGGTGCTTGGCACATAGACGCTCAATAAGTCTTGGATGAATGAATGAGTGAATGTGTTTGTGAGATGTGAGGTACGTTCACGGAGGCCGTGGTAGTGAGAGACAGAACTGGGAGACAGAGTATCAGGATAGGATGACCCACGAAGAGGAAAGATGAGCCTGGAGACCTTCTCACTTAACAAAACCCCCCCAGTTACCACTGTTCTAGGGTCTGCTTTGTTCCTGCCTGTTCCGCTCCAGCTCACTTGCATCCTGGTCTCTCGTGTCTCGTTATTCGGTCGCAGTTGCATGAGCTTCCTCAGAGCAGAGGCTGGATCTCATTTTTCACATTATATACAGAACCTAGCTACTTGTTAGTAAAAACGTGGGAACAGGGCTTCAGCTATTGCCACTTAATGATGGATAGCAATGCAACCAAGGCGTCTGAAAGGAAAGGCAGTGACGTGAACCTGAGGGATTCCATCTGATGGGTGAGTGACAGTGGCAGGCAGAACAGAATGGGAAAATCAAGCGAGCCACTCGGGAAAAGCCGCAGGCCGAGGACGAAGGGGTCTCCTAGGAATCTGATAAGCTCTGGCTTTTCAGAGTCTCAATTTGTCAAGTCTCGATTCCTTCCTCGGTTCCAGTGTCCTGTATGCAGATAAGGTTGTCCTGCTTCTCCCTTTGTTCTTTTCTCATTTTTCTTCTAGCAATAATTTATCATCTGTATCTCTGCCGAAAAGGTAAGTGTTGTCAAGAGCAGGTTCCTCTAAGCAAAGCTACAAAGCTATATTGAGACCATAAGCTCAGCTCTCACAAATCTGGTCTGGTTACCATAGAAACCCTGTAGAACACAGGGTACCACTTGAGTTTAAATTCTCAGACTCAAGAGTCAAAGATGACTTCTGGAAAATTAAAGTATTTAGACAATTTATTTGGGAGATGACTGTATCGTTATACAGGATGGCATTAGTGTGTCATGTAATCTTACCACATATTTCCCCTGAAAACAATGCGTGCCAATGTACCGTACGTACACAAATGCCGTTTGAATCACGTCTAGACAAATCTCCATCAATTAGTAGAATGAAATGCAATTGCATATTCCAAGGGCTTCCCTTGGATCTTTGGGAGTGCATTACATCCTTACAGTCAAAGTTCCATATTGTGTGTGTGTGTGTGAGAGTGTGCCAAGAGAATGGCTGTATCAGGCAGCTTGCAGTTCAAGTTAAGTCACAAGAATTATGCACTTTTTTGTTTCTCTGTGCAACTGGGTTCTAAAGTGTTCCATTAACAAAAGGCTGTGGTGCTTTCAAATCAGTGCTCATCCTCCAATTTGGTACATGTCAAAATATTGGCATCCCTTTGGAATTCATCACAGATAATTACAGTCATGACAAGGTTTAACTTGTATTGTTAAAAAATGGTTGTTGTTGAGTATCTTGCAATGGCATCTCTGTGTCTTGCTTTCTGATGGGCAGGAATGTTCCTGCCACCTGTGGTTGCACCCTGTGACGGCTGCCTCAAAGGCGTTATTGTTAGGAGCAGAGTAACATAATAACGTTTGTGTTTTATGATGCCAGATACTTACATACAAAGATTTTTTTGGAGTGCATTTTTCCCAAAGCAATAGGTTTTAAGTAATGTTTGTGAAACTCACTTGAAGAAAAAAATCAGGCCATGTTTTGCTGGGACTGACTGATGGGGATTTGTTAGGAAAAAAAATAAGACACCCAGACACCTTGCTGCCGGAAGACTGGGAGCCCCCTCCGTGGATTTTCAAGATCATTAGTCTCAGCTTCGTAACACCAAAGCTAAAATCAGAACAGAACCCTTTCCTGTGATTCTCTGACTTGAAATCTTAGACCTCTCCTATAGAAGAGACCTCAGAACAGTTTTTCTTTTTTCTTTTTGATTTTTTTTTAAATTTTACTTTGAGTTCTGGGACACATGTGCAGAACATGCAGGTTTGTTACACAGGTATACGTGTACCAGGGTGGTTTGCTGCATCCATCAACCCATCATCTAGGTTTTAAGCTCCACATGCATTAGGTATTTGTCCTAATGCTCTCCCTCCCCTTGCCCCCCACCCCCTAACAGGGCCCGGTGTATGATGTTCCCCTCCCTGTGTCCATGTGTTCTCATTGTTCAACTCCTACTTATGAGTGAGAACATGCTGTGTTTGGTGTTCTGTTTCTGTGTTAGTTTGCTGAGGATGATGGCTTCCAGCTTTATCCATGTCTCTGCAAAGGACATGAACTCATCCTTTTTTATGGCTGCATAGTATTCCATGGTATATGTGTGCCACATTTTCTTTATCAAGTCTATCATTGATGGGCATTTAGGTTGCTTTCAAGTCTTTGCTATTGTGAACAGTGCTGCAATAAACATACATGTGCATGTGTCTTTCTAGTAGAATGTTTTATAATCCTTTGGGTATATACCCCATAATGGGATTGCTGGGTTAAACAGTATTTCTGGTTCTAGATCTTTGAGGAATTGCCACATTACCTTCCACAATGCTCCAACTAATTTATACTCCCACCCAACAGTGTAAAAGTGTTCCTATTTCTCCACATAGGACAGTTTTTCTACAGCAAAGTCGGGGTGATTGGATGCCAGGTACTAAAACATCTCAAGAGTGATGCTACAATGAGGAAAAGAATACCCAAGCCACACAGTGCTTTGCTATTCCAAGTGTGGTTTTAGGATCGGCAGGGACCGCATGCCCTGGGCACTTGCTGGGAATGCAGGATCCTAGGCCCACCCCAGACCTGCTCAATCAGGGTCTACATTTTAGACAGATCAGTAAGTTGTGTGTGCATCAAATCTGAGAATTACTCCTCCAGCAAGCCAAGGAACCAAGCCATCAGTAAGTCTTGACTGTAATACTGGAGAGTCACCTACAAGCTTCACTGGATGAAGTCACTGGAAACATGTTTCCATTGAATTAAGGAAATTAGGAATTAAGTTCCTAATCTGAAATTCCACAAATTTTAACAATGCAGTCCCATGAGGTTCTTGATAAATGGGGTATTTCTTTATTTTGTGAAACAATATTGTTATTAAGAGTATTTGCATTTTTTATATGTGTTGGCTGCACGGATGTCGTCTTTTGAGAAGTGTCTGTTCATGTCTTCTGCCTGCTTATTTGTTTTTTGCTTGTTGATTTGTTTAAATCCCTTATAGATTTTAGATATTAGACCTTAATTGGAGGCATTAGGGAAATGCAAATCAAGACCACAGTGGAATAGCATCTCACACTAGATAGAAGGCTATTATTAATAAGTAACAAAATAGGCCAGGCACGGCGGCTCACGCCTGTAATCCCAGCACTTTGGGAGGCCAAGATGGGCAGGTCATCTAAGGTCAGGAGTTCGAAACTAGCCAGGCCAACGTGATGAAACCCCATCTCTACTAAAACTACAAAAATTAGCCAGCTGTGGTGGTGCATGCCTGTAATCCCAGCACTTTGGGAGGCCAAGGTGGGTGGATCACTTGAGGTCAGGAGTTCAAGACCACCCTGGCCAACACAGTGAAACCCTGTCTCTACTAAAAATACAAAAATTAGCTGGGTGTGGTGGCATATGCCTGTAATCCCAGCTACTTGGCAGGCTGAGGCACGAGAATCAATTGAATCTGGGAGGTGGAGGTTGCAGTGAGCTGAGATTGCGCCCCTGCACGCCAGACTGGGTGACAGAGTGAGATTCTGTTTCCAAACAAACAAACAAACAAACAAACAAAAAACAAGCAAAAGAATAATAGACGCTGGTGAAGCTGTGGAGAAAATAAAATGCTTATTCATTGTTGATGGAAATGTCAATTAATTTGTCAAGCACTGTGGAAAGAAGTTTGAAGATTTCTCAAAGAACTTAAGGAACTTAAAACAGAACTACCACTTGCTCCAGCAATCCCACTGCTGAGTATATACCCAAAGGAAAATAAATCAGCCTGTCAAAAAAAAAAAAAAAAAAAGCACATGAACTCATACGTTCACTGCAGCACTACTCACAATAGCAAAGAGGTGGAATCAACCTAGGTGCCCAGCCATGGTGGACTGGATAAAGAAAATGTGGTCCATACGCACAATGGAATATTATGCAGCCATAACAGAGAACGAAATCATGTCCTTTGCAGCCACATGGATGCAGCTGGAGGTCATTATCCTAAGCCAATTAATGCATGAACGAAAAACCAGTTACCAAATGTTCTCATTTATAAGCGGGAGCTAATCGCCGGGTGCCCATGGACATAAAGATGGGAACAGTAGATACTGGGGAATAGTCGAGTGGGGAGGTAGGGAGGAAAAAACTGTCTATTGGGTGCTGTGCTCACTTCCTTGATGATGGGATCGATTGTACCCCAAACCTCAGCATCACACAATATACCCATATAACACACCTGCACATGTACCCGCTGAACTTAAAACAAAAGTTGAAAAAAAAAAAGAGTGTTTGCATCTGATTTCTAATTCAGGAGTCAATATGTTTTTATGTTGCTGCTTGTAGGTATGTGAAAATACCACTAATTTAGACATACCCTATACTTCCTGCAGTTAAGAAGATACATTCTCTTGGATGTGAGTTTCCTAGTTGTAGAAAAAAAAGATTAAATTACCAGATTTATTCTAAAAAGATATGGAGCTGAGATGATGCCGGAAGTCTTATGCGCATGAGAGTTAAAAGGAACTGGGAGAGTCTCTGTTCCCCCTGTGTCTCCATCCAACAAGGGCAGTCTTTCCTCAAACCTGCCAGCTTTTCAGTGGATAGGCCAGAACAATGTGTGCTCTGATGTATGGAGCCCCTGCAGCAGCATTCTTGGGTCTAGAGTTTATCAGCAAATAGAATTAGAAGCAACTTTAGTTAGCACATGGATAGTGCATTAAACTAGCATTGAGATACATGGCGAGGTACAGGTCTTCTCTCCCCGATTCCAGCCATGGTTCTGAGTCTTTTACAGAGGTGGTATCAGTCTGGTGCCCATATGGTCTCACAACCCTTTAAACACTGCTCATCCTACCAATCCTACTTCCTCATCTTTTTTTTAAACAAAGAGCAGTAGGCCTTTTCCTGGCAAGAAGATGCTCTGGAATTGTTTTACAATATATTTATTTTAACAATTATTTGGCCGGGTGCAGTGGTTCACGCCTGTAATCCCAGCACTTTGGGAGTCTGAGGCGGGCGGATCACAAGGTCAGGAGATCGAGACCATCCTGGCTACCACAGTGAAACCCCGTCTCTACTAAAAAATACAAAAAATTAGCCAGGCGTGGTGGCGGGCGCCTGTGGTCCCAGCTACTCAGGAGGCTGAGGCAGGAGAATGGCGTGAACCCGGGAGGCGGAGCTTGCAGTGAGCCGAGATAGCGCCACTGCACTCCAGCCTGGGCGACAGAGCGAGACTCCGTCTCAAAAACAAAAACAAAAACAAAACAATTATTTTACTACAAATGATAACAATAATGAAGGTGATGTAAAATATCTTTGAAAATATATTTATTAAATTAAAAGTTGAGTCCATTGGCCAGATACAGTGGCTCAGGCCTGTAATCCTAGCACTTTGGGAGGTTGAGGCGGGACGATTCCTTGAGGCCAGGAGTTTAAGACTAGCCTGGTCAACAGTGTGAGACCCCACCTTTTTAAAAACTTAAACAATTAGCCAGGTGTCGTGGCACACAGCTGTAACCCCAGCTAATTGGGAGACTGAGGCAGGAGGATCACTTGAGCCCAAGAGTTCAATTGCTGTAGTGAGCCATGATTGCACCACTGCACTACAGCCTGGGTGACAAAGCAAAACTCAGTCTCTAAAAAATATAAAATAAAATAAAATAATAATAAAAATAACTCAAGTCTATTTAAAGAAGAGCACTAAGTTTATAACAGAAATAGGAACATAGAACTACCCCAAATCATGAGACTTATACTTGAATAACTAAAATTTGGGTAATGTTGCTGTGAGGAAACAATGATATATCTATTCACTCTCTAGTAGAGACATATTTCTGTGCTTCTTGCTAACTCTGACAAGAAACTAAAAAACACAAACTACACGCTCAGGAAACTTCATATCCCCTGGAGCTGAGACACACAAAATAAGTCATTCTAGACAGATACCAGGTAGCCCAGACACCACAGTTCAGGGGATGCTGGAATAAGGAGATCAAGGTCAGGGCCGCCTGCATTCCATGTTTGTTCAGCAATCACTTTCTGGCTTCTCCCGGGCTCAGGTCCCATGTGAGTTGCTAAAGCAATGCCTGGAAGCGGGGATCTCACCTGCCTGGAGGAGCACCATCTAGAGGTGTCCCAGAAAAAATAAAGAACGAGAGCAGGTCCCAGAAATAAGAGAGAATAAGGTTGCTACGTTTGGGGTCTTGACATTTTCAGACACCTTCTAGAGTGACCCCAACAAGCAAGCCTAGAGGGCTGTGAGGTCGAGTTGGAAATCAAGAGTGATTTGGTAGATAGGAACAGCGTGGGCCATGCTGCAGTCCAGGCGTGTTTAGCAGGAGTTCAATCTCTTATCCCGCAGTCTGCTTTCCAGGCACGTGGATGCACAGGTTTGTTTGTTTGTTTGTTTGTTTGTTTTCTCAAGACAGAAGCAGGTCTTCCAATATTAACACATGATAGCCAGGTTCTTCCCCCAAACTAGATTTCACCCTCCACCCTCCCTAACCCCTAAAGGAAATTGCCAAGGATTTGCCCACTCGGGGAAAATGATACTTATGTAATTCATTGACCATTCTTCCACGTGGAATTTCTCTTCGTATTATTACCCAAAGATAAAACGCTTGCCACCTAAGGCACCATTTTCTTGAATAGCAGCTTTCATGGGAAACTCAGTTATCGGCAACTCTGAACGTTATACTGTCAAAGCGTGGAGAGCGTGCCAATTTTTTTCTCAGATAGCTTTCAAGGACACTTACAATAAATATATGAAAGAGAGCTACTTATAAGCCAGGGATTTATGGAATTTGTCAGTTGTTTGTGTCCCTCCCTTTGTCCATAGCATTAAGATTTGCTGTTTGTGCGGAATTATCCACTGACCTAAATCCTAGCAAGCTATCAAAGTCTGTTTCCCAGATAAAGTCGTGCAGGCGTGTGATACATTTATCAGTTCCAGGCATGCAGCCACTTCATGGAGGTGGCTTTTTGTGTCTCCTCTCAGCACCAGACAAAGAGGAAACTACAAATGAATCACAGCCCACTTACGCCGATAGTTTTAAACAATTACTAAGTGTTTATTATTTAAAAAGTACAATAACAGGATCCTTGCCTCCTCGTTTCCTGCAAACTTTTAAAGTATAATGACATGCAATTTGTTTACCTAATGCACAGCCCTGAGAATTAATGACAAGGCCAAACGGATTTATTGTTCTTACATTATGCAAAATGCTCTGGGTACATCATGCCTCATTATGCAAAATCAAAACCATTGCTATTCACTTGAGTGTGTCTCAATGTGTCCGCACCAGGTGCCCTTCGTGACTGGCTGCTGTGTCTGTCAGAATCCTGCTGCCTAAAACTTCAAAGTAAGAAAGTAACCCAAGTCTTGGAGGAGATTCTAAGTCTGACCAAAGGCTAAGGCTTCCAAAGCCAGCATAAATGGACGAGCACAAAGGGGCTTAATAATATAAAGGTGAATTTCAGGGCCTTAGAACATGGGTGTGGGTGAGAACAGTGGGTGTGTGGAGAACAAAAACTATGGAAACAAGCCTGGCTTTTTCCTTTTCTTTTATTTTTTCTCACTAAAGATATTTGTGCTTGTGTGTCTGAGTCTCTTTAGAAGAAGAGATGTATTTTCCTCAACAATGAGGTCCAGACTTAGAGGTATTTGTGTCAAATTAAGGCTTCCACTGTATTTTGAAATGTTTGATATGAAAAAGTTGTATTCACACAGAGATCTACTCTTACTGCCACAAAGAATTTCAATATTAAATTTGTCGAGGAAAGAAAAGGATACCATTTCAACGGCTGTCCAGTTTTGAATGCTTGTACAAATGATTTTTAAAATTCTTTATCCCTTACTCATTGCTGCTATCAGGAATTTGAAAGAATTATTAAAAATGATTTGATGTAGCCATTTCAGGAATAAAGCCAGATATTTAAAAGTTGTGCTCAGTCATGCAAACCAAAGTTGCTCATTTAAAAATTTAAAAGATTACATTTGAAAGTTAGAAACAAATTTAGTATCTCAATTTTTTAAATTGCCCGTATTGTGTTTTTCTTATCAGAATCATATCATATGAAGAAAAAAACAACTTTTCCAGGAAGCCTCATAGATTCTCCGGAAGCCTCTCCTATGTCCTCTGGTGACACTCATGATGTGAATATGACAAAGTTTGGAAAATACTGACCCAGAGGATGGATCCTTAGGCTTAAGAACTCCCTGGTTCATCTCACGGCGTCTTTTAAAACTCCACTCTCTATACAGAGAGCAGCAAATGTCCTAAATGACCACCAGTCTTCTGGTTGCCCACCTTTCTTTTGCAGTGAGAAACTCCAAGCTTGAATGAGAGATCGGGGAGCCCAGAACCAAGCCAGGAATCAGCAGAAAAGGACTGGGTCAAGGATGAGTCTTCTCAAAGACAGACCTCGTCTTCAGCCAGCTAGGGTCTGGTTCTAACTGCTCACTCCTTTACATAAGCCCCAAGCTCCCAACTCCAATGGAAACGATGAATGTGCATTGATTTGGGTGTTCCCTGTGGCCTCTCTGAGAAACGCAGCAGCCAAGTTCATATCGCGGTGATGGACTTCCTAGGTGCTGGGCAAGGGAGACCCAGGGCACAATCATTTCCTGGCCTGGGAATTACTCAGTGGTAACTGGGTCACCATGCACATGAAACGCAGACCACACTGAACATATACAGTCCAGGCTCTGCTACATCATGCTGTTATGTAGCTGCTGGGGACATCTGGAAGGTCAGTGAAAAATCTGGAGAAGCAAGGAAGCGACTGGTTCAGAAAGAAGCCACCATGATCTTATCTCATGCCATGCACTCCAAGGCTCCATCTTAACCCCCGTCTTGCATCCGGGTCTCAGCCAGGCTTGGTTTCAGGAGGAGAAGACAGAACTCTTGACTGTCTAGGGCCAAGAAGCCATTTGACTGTGTTTGAATTCCTCTTTAGGAAACATGAAATGACTGCCGTTCAAATGAGGTCCCTCCAGCATTAAGAACTTCTGTGGGCTTTGGCTCTGGGAGGAATAAAGACAATTTTGCCTTTTAAAAGGGACCAAGCTTCCTTTCCCTTCAAGGAAACCGCTAAACGGGTCCCAAACTGTCCAGAGAATAAAAGAAATGCAGAGAAATTAGCAGGAGACAGGATACGTGTCATGGGTGTTAACAACTAGCTTAATTTGGGGCAATATTTAGATATCATTTTCTTCCTGTTGTCTGACTCAAAGGTCACAGACATAGGCCTGGATGGGGCCAAGAATGAAGTGGTTGTGTAGGTCCTGAGGCCAAATGCAAATTATAAGGACTGAGTGGAGGTGCGCCTCCAGGCTTCGGGTGGTTGGTATCAAGCAGGATTCCAGCCGGTGTGGCAGTTTCTAGTTTTATAAGAGAACTCAGAAATGCAAACTTTATGTAAATTTTTCTTATGTTAAATTTAGCCACGAAATTTAATTAAAAACAAAACAAAACACACAAAAAGAACCTGTGCAGCCCAAATACAACATTTCTGACTCATGGGACGGCAGTCTGCAGTTTTCAATTTAAAGGGAAAAGTTGATATCACCTAATTAATGTTTAAGAAACACACATAGGAAATAGGATTTTCTCTTGGAGGATAACAGTCAGTGCCTAAATTCAGTGGAGTGATAACACGTTAAGTAAGTGTAACTCTAATGGACCTTGGCGAAATACTAAATTCTGTGGCAAAGGATTCTTTTTTCTACTTCCTCTTCTTCCTAAAGAATTTTTTTTGGGAATGGGGACTTTTTACTTATTTAGGAAAGAACTGAAACCTGCAACAGAAGTAGCAAGCCACATTTTACATCCTTTGAAAAAGAAAGTAAAAATATCGCTCTTCTCTAATAGCGATATTCTTTAATATTTGATTTCCTTAACTTGATTTTTTTTTTTGAGGGGGGTATAAAATCGAAAACCTACAAAATCTTTCAGTAGAGAGATCTGGTAATGAATTAGAGTGAATCCTTTAAGGGAATACACCCATTGGCAATCCCACCATCCTCAAATGTGGAGCTATATTCTCACGAGCGAAAACTGGGAAACTGAAAAAAATCTTCCGTTCATTCTTCCCCCCAGCACTGCTGCACAACTTAGAAAAATCAAGAACAGCACAAGCGTCCGATGGTGATCTCATGTTTTACGCAGCCACGTGCAATTCACTTCTAAATGACATGACTTCATAAAGGACAGAGTCAGATAATTCCATTGTATCTGAAGTTAAGTATGTTAATGTGGCTGAATTAATTTTCTTGGTGTTAAAGTGCAAACTAGGCTAATAAAAGTGACACATTGACTTTTCCAGAGAATGATGTTCTGCTTATAAGGAATGGCAGCGTAAATGAAAATTAGCCTCAAGACAATGTTAATTACACTTTATCCATTAGTAGGAGGGTAATTGAATCACTCATTTCACAGCAAAGAAAACCCTGCTGTCTTCATAAAGGGAAACTATAGTATTTAATGTTCTAATTAAGGCCTAACAATGTAGCTGAATATAGAGGAAAGAAAGTGAAATACACATAGTACAGGAGAGATAGAAACCATGAGTGCCATCTTGTTGAATTCTTTTAGTACTCTCTTCATCCCTCTAATTTGTAACTAGACATTTCATAAAAGGAGTGAAAGACTGGTGGGATAATTTTAACATAAAGATTCTGATCTATAAAACATGTGCAATATCCATGACACATGCATTTACCCTGGGAATGCACAAAACGGGTTTATTACTGCAGATACGATTTAAAACAATATGATTACACATAGTGTTTGCAGTGGATTCATAATATAAGATTTGCTTTTTTCCAAAACAAATAAATGAAAATCAGATGATTGTTTCCTTATACAACAGACTTTTCCTTAGGACGTTCACTAAGTCAAAAGCACCTTCCATACTCCACCACAGAAAGTGAGAAGTCAGGAACTATATTATTAGCTCTTATGGGTCTCCAGGTTAGTGACTGCATATTTTGGGATTTCTCAGCCTCCATAAGTATGTAAGCCATTTGTTTGTAATATCTATCTATCTATCTACCTACCTATCATCTATCAATCATCTGTCATCTATCTTCTATCTTAGCTTATCTATCTAATTATCCATTTTATCTATTCATCCACCCATTTATTCATCTATCTATCTTCTATTATCTGTCATATATATAATATATATACACACAAACATATATCCTATTGGTTTTGTTTCTCCAGAGAAACTTAATACAGGATTCTAGTATGATGTCAACTTTTGGAACTTCCTAGGTCTCTTGGTGGGCTGGTAATATCTAAGGTCATTTTCGCCACAATATTTTGAAATTTATTTTCTTAAAATGTGGTCCATCTATACTCTTTACTCCTTTCTCTGGTGAATATGAAACCCCCAGGAAATAAGGCCACTTTCTGAGATTCTTCTTACTTCTATAGTACCAACCAGGCCTTCTTTGCTAATCAGAAAATAACTCAGGATAGCAATTGTCTTCGCCATACTCTATTCTCAGAGAAATGGAACAGTCATTAAGGCAGGTCAAGAATTAAGAGCTTTGTCTTTCACTGAATACATACCCAACGGATGCCCCATACTGTCCTGATCCCTACTTTATCTTACCCCCACTTCAGATTTATAGTCTTAACCAGGAAGGTGTCATTTGTAACCTCCATCTGGTCAGGATGTGCACACACACACAACTGTGGCACTTCTATGTTTCAGGTTTTTTTGTTTGTTTGTTTGTTTTTTTACTGTCAATCAATAAATAAATTCTTTTTTTTTTAAAAAAAAAAAGAAAGAAAATGAGAAGTCTGCTGAGCAGAGTTCCTGCCAAGGCTGCTTGTGGTTATGTCTTGACATCCCAGAGGCTTGTTCGTGAATTCTGTTGATGGAGAGGCATTTGTTTTGCACTCTTTGGCATAATATGGTTAATCTACATCATAAACTCATGGAGACCAGAAGGAATCTTCCTGACGCCCCCGTAGCAGACCACACTGCTTATCTGTATTCAGTTATCCTCTATGATTGCATAAACAGTATAATTAATTCTTCCCCACCCTCTCTGCATCCACTGTGAAAGCTGGATGATAACAGCTCCCAGCTCCCATTGGCCAAAAGCCAAGACCTGCCTTTGGCCAGCCAGTGGAAGCTGTTTCTCCTGGTATTACCTGGGAGGTTATGGCTCCCTCAAACCTCCTCAAACTACCGCCAAAGCCTGGTTGAAAGGGAAAACAAAAGACCAGGTGTCTTTCCTCAATGGGGCTCAACTCAGTGATGGCATCTATGCTCCAGCCCTCCCTGTGGGGTTGGTGGAGGGTAGACCTCCGTGAACCCGCTCCATTGCCTGGTTTCCTGCCTTGCCTGATTCCCTTCCTTGTCTCCTTATAGGTTTCTCCTAAGAATACTCCCTCCATCAATCCCTTCCACAAGAAACCTCATCCCAGCCTCCACTCCTACAAAACCCAACCTAAGATGAAGTCAGAGCTACAACATCCACAACCAAAAGATGAGATAAGAGTGAGGAAACACTGAGGTTTGCTGAGAAGGCAGCTACTACTTGTCTCAACCCTGGTCTGAATTCTAAGGGGAATAATGGCATCTCCAGGTGGGATTGGGAATATGAGACCAGAGGGAGCTTATCCCTCCCCCTAGTTCCAACCCAGGCAGAGCCCGGTTGCTGACAAGGCTCATAGTACCCCTGGAAGACAGCAGCTGAGCACATAAAAAAATATCTGCATGAAAGTGAGGTTGGGGACAGATTCAGAGTTTCCTGCAGCTCCCAATGGCATAGCAGTGAAAGTCCTCACATCTGTAGATGGCACAGATCTGAGGTCCAGATGAACACCAGCTACGATCCGGGCTGACTAAAAACCGAAGACCAGGTGGAACGATTTTCCTGGAGATTTGGCAACCCTCTCCTGACCTCCATGTGTGGCAATAAGAAAACTGCACTGAGTTTATATTCAATCCTGAGGCAAGTGTGAGTTTGGATTTTGGATCATCTGGGAGGTAGGTGGAATGTAGGTGAAAATGGAAATTAAGTTGAAAATTAGAAAACTCCACAGAAATTTACATTTCTTGCATATCTGAGTTACTGAGATGACGGTTGTACCCAGGAGACCTCAAGCGTGCTTCAGATCATGATAATCTATTGGAGGACATAGCCAAAAGCACAGGCAATGGAAAAGAAAGAATCTCAACTATGATTGCTGGACTGGTGATGCTTTTCTCACTCGTGGGGCCAGATGAATGCACTCTGGTCAGTAAAGTCTTGTGGTCATCATGTCTGCCTTTCTGGTCATCTGTTCCAGAATGCATGAGTTTTCTGGGTACGACAGGATAAAGAACTTCTGATTCCCAAGTCTTCTCAGGGGCTCTACTTATACTAAGTATCTGAGGGGATTTGCCAGGCAGGAGCTGATACCTATAGATCTGTCATTCACTGACTCATTCATTCATTCATACACTCATCCATTCAATTTTTCATTTGGGCATTCAGGAATCAAATAACTACTTTGGAGCATCTACGATAAACTAGGCATTGTTCTTGGCTCTGGGCATTCAGCAGTGATGACAACAGAAAAGGAGTGACTCTGGTAGAAATTACCTTCGACCTTCTCACTGCAACCTCTGCCTCCCAGGTTCAAGTGATTCTCCTGCCTCAGCCTCCCCAGTAGCTGGGATTACAGGTGCATGCCACCATGCCCAGCTAATTGTTGTATTTTTAGTAGAGACGGGATTTCACCATGTTGGCGAGGCTGGTCTCGAACGCCTGACCTCAGGTGATCCTCCCACCTCAGCCTCCCAAAGTGCTGGAATTACAGGCATGAGCCACCACACCCAGCCTTATATTAGCTATTTTTAAACTCTTGTCTCCTAAATGTTTTCTCATGCTTGCATAAATATAAAAACATATCTCTACTGAATTTTTTTTCCCAAAGTATTGAATGATTTTCAAGACATGTCTTTGAAAATGGAATTGTCCTCCCTTCGACATGATGGGGAGACAGGGCAGGTGAGGCAGTGACTGCAGATGATTAGGGAGCAGGGCTCCTATACTCCAACACTCTCAGGCCGATACACAAGATGAGAATGTCCACTGCCCTAAGACAGAGGCATTTTGTCCAAGTGCTTCTGTTCTCTCCCTCACTGACACTGTGCCTCTGGTGGAAGTGAGCCTCCAAAGACAGCCTCCGACAATTCCTCCTCTCTGTGTACATGCACACTGTGGGGGAGGAGCTAACTTCCCCCTGACCCCTTGAATATGAACTTGCCCATGATCATTTGACCAATGGAAAGCACTGGGAGTGACATTCAAAAGCTTAAGCCAATGAGCAGCTTCTTTCTTATTCTTGAAACTCATTGTTAGAATCCAGCCACGTGGGAGGCACCTGATGGAGGACAAGGCTCTCCTGTGCAGCCTTGGCTCAGCTCACAGCTGGCAGCCAGCAGCTGGATGTGCATATGAGGCCTTTAGACCATCGGGGACATTTCGGCCTAATCTAGTCCCCGGATGCCTGAAGATCCATCTACATCATCTGAAACAGGTGCAGCCTTGGCTCAGCTCACAGCTGGCAGCCAGCAGCTGGACATCCACATCAGGCCTTTAGACCTTCAGGGACATTTCGGTCTAATATAGTCCCCAGATGCCTGAAGACCCATCTACATCATCTGAAACAGAAAACCACTCAGTTTGTCTCAGTCAACTTACAGAATCATGCAAGAATAATAAGAGTCATTTTAAGGCACTCAGTAATATTTAGCTAAAATAACTCTTTAATTTCTAGTGATGTCTCTGAACAAACTTGTAGGTTGAGGATTCTTTGACCACAAAACCATGACATCTGCCACACTGGCCTTCAGTGTAAGATGGAATGGAATATGGATTCGTATTTGTCCCCACAATTCCATGACAAGGTATATACCCTGAATAATTGAAAACAGGTGTTCAAACAAACACATGTAAACATATGTTCATGGCAGGACCATGTACAATAGGCAAGGGTGAAAACAGTCCAAATGCCCATTGGCGGATGCATGGATTAACAAAATATAGCATATAAATACAATGGAATATTATTCAGCCATAAAAAAGGAATTAAGTGTTAATACATGCTACAACATGGATGAACCTCAAGGACATTATTACGGCAAGTGAAAGAAACCAGACACAAAAGGTTGCATATTGTGTGATTCAATTTGTAGGAAATATCTGGAATAAATAAATCCATAGAGACTGAAGGCAGATTGGTGGTGCCAGGGGTAAGGGGAAGGAGTGGGGAAAGACTGCTAAGGGGTGCATGGCTGTACCGTGGAGTGATGGACACGCTTTGGAGAGAGATGTTTGCACAGCATTGTGAATATACGAAATGCCACTGAATTGTTCTCTTCAATGTTAATTTGATGTTATTTGACTTTCACCTCAATAAATTATATTTACAAAAGCAATGGAGGTTTTTTCCTATGCCACTGAGTCAACATCCCCAAGAGGGGATGTGGCCCTTTGTGTAGGAAGGACAGGTAGTGCTGCAATCCAAGATTGAGACCATCATGCAGAAGCAAATCAACAGGAAGATGAGAGAGAGGCTCTAGGCTGGGTGTGGTGGCTCACGCCTGTAATCTCAGCACTTTGGGAGGCCAAAGTAGGTGGATTGCTTGGGGTCAGGAATTCAAGACCAGCCTGGCCAACATAGTGAAACCCTGTCTCCACTAAAAGTACAAAAAAAAAAAAATTAGCTGGGCATGGTGGTGCATGCCTGTAATCCCAGCGACCCGGGAGGCTGAGGCAGGAAAATCGCTTGGACCCGGGAGGCAGAGGTTGCAGTGAGCCAAGATCATGCCATTGCACTGCAGCCTGGGTGACAGAGTGAGACTGTGTCTCAAAAAAAAAAAAAAGAGAGAGAGAGAGAGGCTCCCATTATCATCCCAGAAATGGGATAACCACTTCCAGACCAGCTACCATTGGTGTATTACTTGACTGGGGAAAAAATATACTAAAAGTGGAATGACTAAAATTTACTTTCATCATTGTTTTTTCAAATAAGTTTCTATTTTGATATAGCACAGCCATTTACATTTAAATCAAGCTGCCTAAAATACAGGTGTGAAAAGTAACTTTTTTTTTCTCCCTCCATCACTGTAAAACATGTAATTTCAACCCACATCACTCTTCTCACCCCAGTAGTTTCTCCATTCCACTTCCCCCATCAGTCCATCACGACCTGTTGTCAGAGATGAGTCTTCCAATCTAGATTTGCTTTAGTCACAGTGTGTTGTCGTAACTTTATTAACTACTTCTCACAGCCTCACATTTCTATTGATTCAGATAAGATGCTTTTTAAAAAAATATGCTATTAAATCCATGATTTTCTTCTTGCTAACAAGAAAGATTTATTTTAGATGAACGGTTTACAGAAGGCTGTGGCAACCAACCTCCTCAGTGTCCAATTCTGGAAAGAAAGTTTCTCTAGTTTTAGGTTCATTAGGAAGGAAGTTAAACTAAAAATAAGACAACTAGAATTTGAGTTTCAGACATACCAGCCTGCCACAATCTACTTTAGATCATTATAGGAAAAATAGCTGACGGCAAAGCAGAAGGAGTACAGAACCCAAAATATACGTGGGCATTGGTGTTTCATGTATGGTGTTTAATAAAATTCAGAAAACATATCACCATGGCTATATCTGAAGCTGTGCTCATCTTCTTATAGTTCAGCTGAGATATTTTTTAAGGACACTGGGCATGGGTAGTCTACTGGGATTGTGACCAAGGAGACAGGTTCAAATGAGTACATTGTAGGATTGTTTTTAGGCATGAAAAATTAAGAGCACAGTATATGGCTAAATAAATAGAAAGGTAATCACACTATGAGATTCTGTTGCAGAAGTGATAATGTTATGTGTTCATCACTGTTTCCCTCCTCCTGGGCACCCAGGAAAATAAGATTCCTCAGCCTCTCTCATTCGTAGGTTGGGAGCATGTGCTGGAGCTCCGGGCAATCAGGAATGTGAGCAAGGCTTGACCCATCATTTCTGTTCAGAATCCATTAAGAGCAAATGTGTGATCTTAGCATCTAGACCTTAAAGTGTAAATAACATTGGCCAATAAAAGGAGACAGGGAGCCAAGCATGGTGGCTTATGCCTGTAATCCCAGCATGTCGGGAGGCCAAGGCAGGTGGATGGCTTGAGGCTGGGAGTTTGAGACCAGCCAGGCCAACATGGTGAAACCCCGTCTCTACTAAAAATACAAAAATTAGTCGGGCGTGGTGGCGCATGCCTGTAATCCCAGCTACTTGGAAGGCTGAGGCACGAGCATCACTTGAACTTGGGAGGTGGAGGTTGCAATGAGCTGAGATCACGCCACTGTACTCCAGCCTGGGCAACAGAGTGAGACTCTGTCAAAAAAAAAAAAGGGAGAAAAGGGGCCAGGGATTATTTGGAGCAATGGCTGATTCCAGCCTAAAACAGAAAATGTATGTGATAAGCCAGGACCTCTTATAGCACAAAACAAGGAAAGTGCTCAAAAAAAGCATGGTGGCAGGAGATGACTTGAAGTGCTATGAACTGATGAATCCGGGATACTTCGAGGAAGAAAATAAATACTGATAGTAATGCTCTATAATCCATGGCATAAAACAAATATCCATGAGTTCAGAGCTGATGTAAGCACAGAATTGAAAATGTAAATTAATAAACAGGAAGGGAATGATGGTAATACAAAATCACCACTTGGCAAACAGCACAGCAATAATTGCTTTGGACAAGAATCATCAATAGATGCTAAAATTTGTGGGCAAAATATGGCAATTAATAGGATATTTACATAGCCTCAAAGCATTAGGTTAGTGCAAAAGTAGTTGCAGGTTTTGCCATTACTTTTATAATTATTTTAATTACTTTTGCACCAACCTAGTATCTCCACATTTATTTGATGCATAGGGAAAATAGGAACCTTACAGTGGAGAAATCTGGCAGACAGCACCTGAACCAAATGCTCCAAGTTAACCTCACCTGTAACAGGACATATTGGCATCATATTCCTTTTGATCTGATGCTCCGAGAACTGCCCAGCAAAACTTTCATGGTATTCATGTTAAAAAAGGTTGATCTTTTGTGTGTGGCTATCTACTTTCCCTAGCACCATTTGGTGAAGAGACTATCCGTTTCCCACTGGTATTTTTGACACCCTTATCAAAAAACAGTTCACTGTACATGCGTGTATTTATTTCTGGGCTCTTTGTTCTGATGCATTGGTCTATGTATCTGTCTTCATGCCAGAGACATATGGTTTTAAGCACTGTAGCGTTGTAATATATTTCAAAATCGGGAAGTGTGATGCCTCTAGCTTTGTTCTTCTTTCTCAAGATTGTTTTGACTATTTGGTGTCCTCTGTGGTTCCATGTAAGTTTTTAAAACCTGGATATCCACATGTAAAAGAATTAAATTGGACCATTATCGTGCACCATGCACAACAACAACTCAAAATGTGTTAAATAGTTAAATAGGGGAAAAGCTCCATGACATTGGTCTCAACAGTGATTTCATAAATATGACACCAAAAGCACAGGCAACAAAAGCAAAGACAGACAAGTGGTATTGCATCAAGCTAATAAGCTTCTGCACAGCAAGAAGAAAAATAAACAGAGGAAGAAGGCAATCTATGAAACGGGAAAATATTTGCAGGCCATATATCTGATACGGGGTTAATTCTTAGAATGGTAAACTCATACAGCTCAATAGCAACAACAACGACAACAACAACAAACCACTAAGAACCCAATTTTAAAATGGGTTAAAGACTTAAATAGACATTTCTCCAAAGAAGACATACAAATGGCCAATAGGTGTATGAAAAGGTGCTCAATGTCTCTAATCATCAGAGAAATGCAAATCAAAACCACAATGAGATATCATCTCATGCCTGTTAGGATGGTTATTATTATGAAGACAAAGACAGCAAGCGTTGACAAGCATGTGGAGAAATTTGATCCCTTGTACACTCTTGGTAAGAATGCAAAATGGTGCAGCTGCTATGCAAAACGGTAAGGAGGTTCCTCAAAAGGATTACAAATAGAACTGCTAGGTATTTATCCAAAATAATGGAAAGCAGGATCTGGGAGAGATACTAGCACTCCCCTGTTTGCTGTAGAATGTTCACAATAGCCAAGGCATGGAAACAACCTAAATGTCCATCAGTGAATGAGTAGATGAAGAAAGATTAGTACATACACACAATGGGATATGATTCAGCCTAATAAAGAATAAAATTCTGCAACATGTGACAACGTGAATAAACCTTAAGGACATTATGCTAAGTCAGATAAGCCAGTCACAGAAGGACAAATACTGTATGAATTGTATTGTATTATTTTAGAGACCTCCTGTGAATGGAGGTCTCTAAAATAGTCAAACTCATAGAAGCAGACAGTAGAACGGTGGGTGCCAGGGATGGGGGTATCGGGGGGAATGGGTAGATGTTGCTCAATAGGCATAAAGTTTAAGTTACGTAAAGTGAATAAATTCGAGATATCTGTAAAACCTTGTACCTATAGTTAACAGGAATGTATTGTGTACTTGAGATTTTGTTAAAAAGGTAGAACTAATTTTAACTGCCCTGGCCGGGCGCCATGGCTCACACCTGTAATCCCAGCACTTTGGGAGGCCGAGGCAGGCAGATGACCTGAGTTCAGGAGTTCAAGACCAGCCTGGCCAACGTGGTGAAACTCCGTCTCTACTAAAAATACAAAAATTAGCCAGGTGTGGTGGCAGGCGCCTGTAATCCCAGCTACACAGAAGGCTGAGGAAGGAGAATCACTTGAACCTGGGAGGTGGAGGTTGCAGTGAGCCGAGATGGTGCCATTGCACTCCAGCCTGGGTGACAAGAGTGAAATTCCATCTCAATAAAAAAAAAAAAAAAAAGAAAAAAAAGAAAAAGAAAAGGAAAAGCAAAAAGAACTAATGTTAATTGTGCTTGCTGCAATTGAAAAATCCAAAAAGCACAACTTGACTTCAATCACAAAAAAATTAACCAAACTCAAATTGAGGGGTAATATGCTAATTGGTTAGTGCTGATTAAATATGACAAAGTCAGGGGTCTAGCACCTTCCTGCAGTCCCAGCTATTTGGGAGATTAAGGAGGGAGGATGACTTGAGCCCAGAAGTTTAAGTCCAGCCTGGACAACATAGCAAGACCTCATCTCTGTCAATCAATCCATCAATTAAGACAAGGCCATAGAAAACTAAGAGTGTAAGAAATTATTCTGGACTGAGAGAGACTAAGCAGACGCAGCCACCCTGCACAATGTGCAGCTCTGGATTGGATCACGCATGCCAGAAAAGGGATAACTGTTGGAATTTGAATGGGTCTGTATTTATTAATAGGTTCATATCAATGTTTATTTCCTGGTTTTGATCCTTGTACTGTGGTTGTGTAACATGTTAACATTTAGGGAAGCTTAGTAAAGGACCTCTGAGAACTCTACTATTTTTGAGACATATACTTAAGCTCAACTTATTTTAAAATGAAAAGTTCGCAAGAGAGTCAATGTTTTTCCTCACCTCTTTGTTACCCTTCCAGGTTAATCCTGGAAGCCATGCACTGAGGTGGGAGCATCTTGAAATGGGAAAGCCTAGATCCCTAAGTCACTGCATGGAAGGGCATCCCGACCACCTAGACTCAACTTTACGTGAGTGAGAAACAGGTTTCTGCTGTGCTAAGACGCTGAGACTTCAAGTAACAGGTTATCGAAGCATAACCTACACTATTCTAATTAACACACCTGAGCTGCTGCTAGCAGTAATAAGCTAGGTCTTTGTGTACACACATGCATAGATCTCAAGAATTATTGTTGATCAAAAGAAAAGTAAGTTGCAAAACAACAGCTACAGAGGGAAACCATTTATGTTGAAATAAAATCATGAAAATTTGGTATAGGTTTTATGTGTGCACAAATGTGTATAAAAGTATAGAAAAAGGTTTAGAAGAATATACAGTTTGAAACTGTTCATTTCTAATGAGGGGACAAGGTTTCAGGATGTGGGTGGTAGCCTTATTTGCAATATTTTAAACATGATAATATATTCAGGAATCATTTCTGTAATTAACATTCACAATAAAAGCAGACAGTCTGTTAAGTTGTTGACCTCAACTGAATGATCTGTAACCCATGGCAAGGATACATTTTCAGTGTAGACCTCATTAATTTGGTAGGGCCAGGTTCTCTATTTACTGTATAATGAAGTTGCATTTTCCCAGAGGATTCAGTCCCAGAGTCAGAGCTTAAGGCAGAAATTGCATAAAGTTCATTACTCTTAAAATTTTCCTTAAATTGCCCATAAAGTATAGTGTCGAAGGTTTCATGTATCCAAAGCAATAAAGTGATTTTCCTGGACATGAATATTAAAGAACTACTGGACTACACTGAAGAGAGACACCAAATGGAATTTTCGTTGCAGGTATCTGGACTAAATCCTCTGATTTTAAGTTAACTATAAACTCCCCATCAGTCAATGGGGCACGGCTGGAGAAATACCTCTGCAGGATTTATTCTATTTTGTTTTAATATTATGCAGCCCTAATTTTAATGCATGCTAATAGATGTGTTCATTATTGAGGAATTCAGTTAAATAATGAGGTTTCATCTTCCTGGGTTTCATTTCTAGAGGCAGCTTGTAGGTTAAAAGTAATTATGGTGCAACTTCACTTTACTAGGCTTTCTTAAAGAGGAATTTATCTTATCTATAATCTTTCCATTTGGATCCTCTTTACAATGATCTCAAATAATTGCAACTCTCCTGTTTTCTTCTTGTTCTAGATGTCTTTTCGCCTGAAACTGAGCTATTAAACTGAGACCGAGTCCTCCATCTCTTCCCTCTCCACCTGGATGGGTCAACTTTCAAGGAACTTAATTACTTTTGTAACAGAACAAAGGCTACGGAAAATGTCTGTAAAATTTGGAACACAGGCTATGAAATTAGAATCCAAGCTCTCTGCAAAGAAATATTGATTTAGTTATTCTGACAGCACGTGGTCAACAGGTTTCTCCTCAAGATCCCCCTGCTTCCCTCTAGAATTGTGTATGGTGTGTGGGTGGAGGAGTTGGAAAGGGGAGAAACTCTAGGGGAAAAGGGGTTGGAAATGGCTATGGGGCTATTGAGGTTCAGAGAAAGAAAGCCTGATTTCTGTTCTAAGCAGAGGCTAGGAGGCTGGGGAAGGTCAAAGCCAACATCACAATAATGGAAGAATGGAGAAGGACATAAGGTTTGCTAGGAGCAATCAGAAGGATAGAATACATGGGTTTTAAGGGGGATGGGGGGAGTAAAATGGGAGATCGAACATGGGGCAGGAAGCCTTTTCATATGAGTCCACAGCCCCCACCACCATGGAAGGGAGAAAGTATCATGGGTTGGTATGATAACGGCATGCCTATCATGTTAGGATGAAATTAATAAGCATGAGCTGGAAGAATATTAATAAAGATCAACATTCACATCTATTGGCCCTCTTCACATTTTCCCCATGATTTAGCAAAATAAATTCATCCACATCAATAAGAAGATTCCTAAGTCTTCCTTTTTGTTACACTGATAGGCAAGAAGCTTGGTCTTCATAATAATATTTTCTCTGCTCTTTCCAAAATGTAGTCCTAATGTGGTCAGCAGAGAAACAATGGAAGAAGCCCATTAGCTCCCATTAGCGTATCTGAAAGTAGCTGTAACTGACTCCCGAGGAGCCAAAGATTCTTATAGAGAAGAGGGAGCTATGCAAGCCCTTCATTGCTAATCAAATCACACCCATGAGCGCAAATGAGATTGATCCATCCTTTATGGAGAATCCTGTAATTAGAGAAGGGCCAGGGTTAATGACCAAAGGAAAACAGACTAGCTCACTGCTACACTCCTCATGAGCATCTCAATTCAGTTTCGGATTTATAAACCTAACCTCTGGTTCCTCCTATCCTGCCACCTATTATTGTTAATATAGATGAGTATAGACACATGCAAGGATAATCACTCAGAAAGTGCAATTGATAATATTGAAGATTACAAAGAAATAACTTTTAATAGCACATAATTACCAATAACACAGACATATTCATAGTTAATTATGCCATTGCGTGGGATGAGATTTGAGAAAGTAGAGGAGAAAATGAAAAAAGGAGAGAAAGACCTTTTCTTGGCTTTCGATTTCCAAAAGTCTAGAAAAAAGGTACAGGAAATGCTAAGGATCTGAATGAAGACTCAGTGCCTACTAACAAGGGCTGCTCCACATCCACAAGTTAGTCCTCAAACTAAAAGGGAGGGAGGGTAGTCAGTGGAGAAGTAGAGATATTGGTGGATCTGTTTCCCAGAACGAGCCGAGGAGAGAGAGGATCTGAGGGCAGAGGGGCCCTGTTTTCTGTTCCCAGGGATGTGGAGGGTATCCAGAGAGAGAAATTGACAGAGACTTGACTAGCCTGACAGGGCTTTGCATATCATCCTGGAGATTTCCTGTGCCCTAGGGTGGTACGGAGGCAGTGCAAGCATCCTCATGTGCCCAGGAGTATTGCAGAAGTAGCCCCAAGAGCCTCTGGACCCAAAAAGTCAGTTCACCATGTAGGTGGGGTGAAAGAGGTCATCCTGATGGCTTGGGAGCAGCAGAGCCAATGCATTAAAGCCAGACGGACACCTGGGTCTCAGAAGATGCTTTACATGAAGAAGTTATTCAGTCAGATATTTCCATCCCCACATGCTTTGGAAGTGTATTCTGGGGCAGCAGTCCCCAGCCTTTCTGGCACCAGGGACCAGTTTTGTAGAAGACAATTTTTCCAAAGACGGGTGGCGGGATGGTTTTGGGATGATTCAAGTGCATTACTTTTATTGTGCACTTGATTTCTATTATTCTTACATTATAATATACAATGAAATAATTATACAATTCACCATAATGTAGAAGGAGTGGGAGCCCTGAGCTTGTTTTCCTGCAATGAGATGGTCCCATCTGGGGGTGATGGAGACAGTAACAGATCATCAGGCATTAGATTCTCACAAGGAGCGTGCAACCTAGATCCCTCGCATGTGCAGTTCACAGTAGGGTTAGTGCTTCCATGAGAATCTAATGCTGCCACTGATCTGACAGGAGGTAGAGCTTGGGTAGTAATGCGAGCCATGGGGAGCAGCTGTAAATACAGATGAAGCTTCGCTCGCTTGCCCATCACTTGCCTTCTGCTGTGTGGCCCGGTTCCTAACCAGCCACGGACCAATACTGGTCCATAGCCTAGGGGTTGGGGACTCCTGTTCTGGGGCTTCCCAGAGCATAAACACAACCAAAAATGAAGAGGAGAGGGGGGCCCCACAGTAACTGAGATTCCATTCCTGAAAACGAGCAGCATTTAGAAACTTGAAAAAGAAATTGGGTTGCACCCTTGTAAAGTTATAAAACTATTTATCTTGCATTTTTGTGTTTGTGGCACAGGACACTATTTCCATATATGGATCATCAATATTTATATAATTAGAACAGAGGGAAGTATATGAACTAAAGTTCCATGTTTTTACCATGATTCAGAATACCCTTCAAGATTTTTAATGCCTTGAATACGAATGATGGGTATTGGTAATCAATGGCTGGCAGGTCTTTATGTCTGTCCCCTAATCTGTAAAACAAGGTCATTAGATGAAATATGTTATAAAGTGAAACAATGCAATGAAGCTTGTAATAAAATCATCAATTGCCTTCCCTATCTGTCTTGGTGATTGGGGCTTAAACAAGGAAGGTAGCCTGGGGAGAATCTCACCATCATATATGAATCTTTACAGCTGTGCCCCATGCTTAACACAGGGCCTCTCACCCAGTCTTTCAGCTGGGACAGGTGCCCCGATGCCAGAACATCTCTCATTTACCCTTTCCAGAGGGCTACCTTCAGTCTTCCTGTGGGAGTTTAGGGGACAGGTGACTGGATGCAAGGGCTAAGAGAGGGGATCCGTGGAGTCTAAAATGTTTCTTACATACAGTTCTAACTTGCCTTCCTGTTTTCAGCTCTATCACACACTGTATATTTCCAAGATACCAGGAACCTCCAGGTCCCAAGCATTTTTATTTTCTCTACTTTTTTCAATGTTTGCTCCCATCACCCCCCTGCAGGCAGTTAGCTACCTCTGCTCTGCTAATCTAGTTACCAAATGATAATGTACTTTCCATCTTTCAAAGTTTTCTGAAATATCTCCTATGACTGTGTACTGTTTTCTCCAGTTTGGTGGGATTTTTGATAAATAATCATTTCCTATTGTGATGGTTCATTGTGTGTATCAGCTGGCCTGGGCCACAGGGTGCCCAGATATTTGGTCACATGTTACTGAGTGTTTCTGTTAGGGTGTTTTTTTGATGAGATGAACTTTGAGTAAAGCAAATTGCCCTCCATAATGTGGGTGGGCCTCATCCAATCAGTCGAAGGCTTACATAGAACAAAAAGATTGGCCTCCTGCAAGGAAGAGAGAATTCTCAGCAGACTGCCTTTGCATGTTACCTGCAACACTGATTCTTTGTAGTTCCACAGAAGACGACCACTACGGAACACTGCTGGCTAGACACTACGGAACACTGCTGGCTAGACACTACGGAACACTGCTGGCTAGACGCTACGGAACACTGCCGGCTACACACTACAGAACACTGCCGGCTACACACTATGGAACACTGTTGGCTAGACACTACAGAACGCTGCCGGCTAAACTCCAGGGAACACTGCCAGCTAGACTCGTGCTGCAGATTTTGGACTTCCCTGCCTCTGAAATCATATTAGCCTTTTTTTTTTTTTTTTTTTTGAGACAGTATCTCGTCCTTCTTGCCCAGGCTGGAGTGCAGTGGCGTGATCTCGGCTCACTGCAACCTCCACCTCCCGGGTTCAAGCGATTCTCCTGCCTCAGTCTCCCAAGTAGCTGAGTTTACAAGCACGCACCACCATGCCCAGCTAATTTTGAGCCAATTCTTTATAATAATTAGTTTTGTACACACACTCACACACTCTCACACATAAAAAGTCATCCCACTGTATCCACAAGGGATTGGTTCCAGGACACCATGAATAGCAAAGTCGAGGATGCTCAAGTTCTTATACAAAAGTCTTAATATTTGCATATAACCTTTGTACATCTGATTATACACTTTAAATCATCTCTAGATTACTTATAATACCTAATACAATGTAAATGCTATATCAATACTTGTTATACTGTATTTTTACATCTTGTATTCTTTTTTATTGTTGTACTATTACTTTGTATTTATTTTTCTGAATATTTTCCACCTGTGGTTGGTTAATCCACAAATGTGGAACTCGAAAATACGAAGGGCCAACTATACTCACACACAAATGAGCACACACACATACACTCACATACATATATATGAACATGCACACACATATATACATCTATATGAACATGCACACACACACACACACATATATATATATATACATATGTATATTAACATGCACATACACACATACACACATCCTGTTGGTTCTGTTTTTCTGGAAAACCCTGACTCAGGCAACTGTAAATATAAGTAAACATTCCACTATGCTTCACTAGCTTGAACAACACTCTTCTGATTGCTTTTTATGCACTGCGTGATTTTGAGTACGTTATCTCATTTAAACCTCCCAATGTCATTATGAAGAGATGCTTGGTGAGGTTAAATGGTTTGCAAAAGGCAAAATGGAAAAACAAGTATTTTAATATAAGCACAGTGTTCTATTCACTGCAACAGAGTTATCACCCCGGTTACTTCTAAGTCCATCCTAGAAGCAACAAGATGTTCTTCGTGCCAAATAGGAGAATACTTTGTGTTACAGACTTTGCCTTTATGCTCTTCCTGATCAGCAGACAAGTGTCGGCAGCTTCTGAACCCTATTCCTGTTTCTTTCCTCAAGTGACAGATAAATCTGGATATAGGCTGTAATTCTGTTTTCCTGAAGTTTCCTACACCTTCCCATCCAAGGTGTGAGATACGTTAAAGGCACTAAAGAGAGATGAAGTGCCAGTTTCTCCAGACTAACTCATAAACAGTAGCTCAGTCTGTGTTTCCTGGAAAACAGAGCCTGAAGCCAGCAAAGGTTATGTGCTATTAATGTCTGAGGGGGTGTCAGCCCCCAGAGCAGGGATTGGGGAAAGGAGGGGTGAGTCAGGGAATCAAGGAGGCTGGTGTGAGTATACACTACCAAGCTCATTAGTATTTGGTATCAAGCACCAGACATTGCTCACTGTTGCCAGACTTTCTGGAAGACAGTACAAAGGAATGCTTCTCAGAACTCTCCATTTGGGGAGGAATTTATCAACCAGTTTCCATTTTTCAATTGGTCAGTAGTTTGCTCTGCAGGGTGCTAATTCCTCTCTGCCTCTGGGTAAAATGTATGTGCCTGTCCAGAGAAAGTTTCCTGTTTCAGAGTCTACAGGAGAGCCCTAGGGAAGGACAGCCTGGACACGCAGGGAGACCCCCGTCTTTAGTGTCAGAGGAAAGTCCTCAGAGTCAATGTGGAGTTTGTTGCCACAGTAGCAGGGGGCTGGAAAAACTGGCTGAAGGTCCTGGAACCAGGTGGGGCAGACAGAATCTGAAATAGAGCAAAGCTGCATTTGGTGCACGTTCTTTAGTCCAGTTCTCTCATCCTGACCCCCACAGGCCTTCCCGAGTGATTTTGGCCTGGCTAGGCCTCACAGTGGGTTCAAGGCAAGCCATTTGCTGCCAGCAGCAGAAAGCAACTTCGGATCATTTAAGCAATACAGGGATTTACAGGAAAGATATTGGGACAAACTTGAGAATTTAAAAAATAGCTGAGAAAGCAGGTCTGCAGAAGGGCAAGAACCAGGACCAGAAAGGGATTCCAGCAGCAGGTCAACGCCTCTGCCGTTAGTAAGAATTGGCTTCAAAGCACCCCAGGCTCTGTGGCTTTCCTTTCCAGTTTAAGGTGCTCGGGAGAGAATCTGATCGGGTCAGCTGCACAGGGTGTTTCTATGCCTTAATTACTTATCTGCGGCCAGGGCACAGGATGGCAGATGAAGGGTGTCCCTGTGAGCATCCTGCATCAGACTGGATAAGCGAGGTTATCAGGTCGTTATCAAACGACCTCATCGCCCTGGTGCTTTAACAAAGGTTGATTTCCTCGTCAGGCTGCACACCTGTCACAGGTCGGCTGGGGACGCTGCTCTCCCCAACCCCATGTTCTGGGACCCAGGCTACTTAAGCAGCCAGTATCTTGAACATGGTCAGACACCAAGCCAGACAGAAAGATCACTCTGGAGGCTTTTGAGCTGGTAATTAAATGTTTTTTAGGAAGAACTGGTTATTTGACTTACTCAACCACAAGGGAAAAGAAAAGGATGATGCCACAATCTGGGTGGGGAGACATGGAAACATTTGAAAAACAACATTAATACATATCACCAACTCATGGGTGGGATTCATACATATCATCACCAACTCATGGGTGGGATTCATACATATCACCAACTCATGGGTGTAGAGGGTAGGACTGTTTCCAGCAGAAGACAAACGAATTACAAGGCAGAGAAAATGATCAATGTCTATCATAAGCAACGACAGGCTTGAGGAAGACTGAATTCTTTATCTCAGAATTTTAGAGCTAAAGTAAACCTACAGCTTGCAAAGTCACACTTCTGCTTTTTAATGTTTTTTATTTTTTAAAATGCATCAACACATCGCAATTGTATATATTTATAGGGTTCAGTTTGATATTTTGATACATATATATGTTGTATAATGGTCAAACCAGAGTGTTTAAGCATATCCATCACACATTTATCATTTCTTTGTGGTCAAAACATTCAAAAGCTCTTGTCTAGCTACTTTTTAATATAAAAGGCCTCACTGTTAACCGTCATCACCCCACCATGCAGTAAAACACCAGAACTGCTTCCTCCTATCTGATTGTCACTGTGTACCCATTAACCAGCCTCTCCCCATCCACCCCACAATCTTTCTGTCTGGCTCCCCTATTTCTGGTAACCAACGGTTCTACTTTCTGCTTCTGTAATACAACTCTTTTTATCTTAATTTTAGATTTCACATATGAGTGAAATCCTGCGGTATTTGTCTTTCTGTGTCTGGCTTATTTCACTTAATGTGATGTCCTCCAGGCCCATCTATAGAGAGCCAAAGAAGGAGAATGGCCATTTGGTGGCTTAGTGACAGGCACTGAACAAGATGGCCCCGTCAAAGGCTCTTCTTTATGAGCACTCATTATTAAATGTGCTGACGATAAACCTCCTCTTAGCACGAGACTTAAAAGACACGGTCACTGGCAAGGGCTTTTGCCATTCAAAACACTTGTTCTATTAAGAACTTTGATGTCAGAACCTCAACTTTCCTTCATAAAACCGACTTCACTGCACTCTCAGGCCAAGCGCTTCAGAAGGAAGTTCCCAAGGTCGATCTGTGACTCAGGTATGGCTCATCAGAGCCAAAGTGGTTCAGATATGACATCTGATTTAGTCAACCAGAGCCATGAGATGTTGGCTGGAATTCTCGGGAGATAGGTTATTTTGTTTTCTGCAAGGACTGTGAATGGAAAGAATGGTAGGAACCTGGAGGTGCTGGGGTCAGCCTGTGTGTGGCCAAGGCAACCATACAGGGAAATCCAGAGCTAAAATGTGAGAAGAGCAAAACTGGTGCTGATGATACTGTTGGAGCTCCTGGATCAAGCCATACCTGAAATCCATATGCAGACTTTTTTATGGAAGTCAATAAATGTCTCTTTTCTGTTTCACATAGTTGAACTTTTTTTTTTTTTTTTTTGCCAATTGCAAGAAAAAATTTCAACTGTTTTTCATTTAATTGATTTTCTCCAAAGCACATATGGGTTACTAAACAACTTAAAGACTCATTTACAGATAGCTAAGAAAGCCCAGAGAATGTTTTGTATGTGACAATTCATGGGAGAGCCCCACCCCACCTCTCATCAAACTGGACACATTGAACAATCAGGTTTTTTTTTTTTTTTTTAGCTCTTGGAACATGTAGAGACTATTAACAATGAAATATAATTTTCACTGCTTTATTGGTATTAGATTTAATTTACTGCTGAGAAAAAAGGGAAATGACAATTACACCATTTCAGACGTCCTTCAGGGCGTTCTCATGGTGGTGCTAAAAAAGAGGAAGCTAATATTTCTATGAACCTTTTGTGCCGTAAAGTTAAACAGGTCTCTTCAATGAACCATGCTGGACTGAATCCTTTCCAATTACGCTTAATCATTTTCATAGGCAAACTTCAGACCTCAAGGACTTCCCTTGTGCTTTTGAAATCTGATATTATTCAAAGCCATAAATATATCTTTGGTGCTTAAAAGGTTGATTTCTTTTAAAGGCGAAAAAGTGAAGAAATAAACCTCACACCTTTTCTTTTGTGAGTCTCCGCATATTTGGAGTTTGGGCACAAAGGAGATTCTTGGAATGGTGGCTGTTCTAATGTGCCATTCAAAATGTACTGGGGAACCAAGTCATCGTAGAGGAGATGGAGAATACTTGAGCCAGCTACTTAATTAAGATGCAGGAGTGTGTGGTCTGAATCCAATACTCTCAAGGCCGACCAACACTCAGAGAAGTGATTAACCTGCAAAGCAAGGCAAGTTGCCACATAGGAACCCTATAAGAGGAGAGGGTTCTGAGAGCCATACAAATGGGAACGTCATCAATCTATTGAGATAAAAAGACATTCGATGACTGCTCCGTGGCCAGGACTTGGGATGAAGAAATGTGACGATGAATATCACTGAGCACCCACCTAACTTAGGAGTCCACACACGTGCAATGCACCTGTTAAGGTTTTTGCTATGGATGCTGTAACATGTTGCCACAAACTTAGTGGCTTGAAACAACAAATTACTATTTTTCGTTTTGGGAGGGTAGCAGTATAAAACGGTGTGTTGGAAAGACTGTGTTCCTTCTGGAGACTTCAGGGGAGAATCTCTTCCCTTGTCTTTTTTTCTTTTTCCTGTCAATGCTGAATATTTATTAACAAAGAGATACTGGCATTTTGACATTTCTAAAGACTTGCTTTGGACATTAACATTTGCAGTGGATGCTTTAAAACATAAACACTTTGAAGCTATACCTACAGAAAAACTAGGAAAATGTAATACAGAAACGAATAATTACATCAATGATAGTTGCTGTTAGAAATATTGTGTCAAATGTACCCAGAGGTTGCCTGAATCTCATAGCTCGTGACCCGTTCATTTCATTCCTCCAATCTGGTGCTTCACTTCAACCTTTCCTTTATCCTCACACTCCCTACTGTAGTTACCCCACTCCTGTCTCCCTCTTATACAAGGACTCCTGTGGTTACATACATACAAATGATCGAGAATCATCTCCTCACCTCACATCTCTAGCCACGACTCCAAATACCCTGCTGCCATGTAAGTCAACACTTACACGTTCCAAGGGTTTAGGATGCAAACACTTTGAGGGGTTGCTATTTAGTCTATCACTGTCCCGAGAGCAGAAGCTGGAAAGCAAGGAACTCTCCCCTTCCAGAAAGGACTCTCCCATTGAAAAAACTTCCTGGTTGTGCTGTCCTGTTTATTTAAGCTTCTTGTTAATGCTCGACTTCTTCCAAGATTTGGTCTTATCTAGTCCCTATATTATAAATGTCTGAATCCCCCTTCAGGAGTTTGTATACAGCACACACCTTATGAGCTATGGGGGCTCAAAGCTGCATCCTCTCACCTCCTTCTCTCCCTGTGTTTCCTAACATTTGCTCAGTAAATGTTGAACCAAGATGCCATTAGCAATGCTTAAAAAAAAAAGAGGCTCACCTAGGAACTTTAAATGTCCATGCTAATTACTTCCTCATGCGACCTGCTTCAAAAGCACAGACATTACTCCAATTTTCCAAATTGGGAACTCACACACATGTAGGCAAGAATATGAGGCCTTCAGTTTCATCCATAAAGACAGTCACAGCAGCAATCACAGCTGCAACCATGAGCGCAAAAGCTAACATTTATTGAGTACCCACTTTGTCTTGGGCACTGTTCTAGGTGATTTTATGCATTATTTAATTAAAGCCACCCTCCTCCCCAAGTCTGGTGGGTGGGGGTCATTGTCTCCACTTACAAATGAGGAAACTGAGGTTTAGGGTGATTAAATGAAACGCCCAACACCAGAACAGACACAGGATTCACCATCAGCCTACTCTGATTTCAAGGCTCTGACTCTTAAGCACCATATTCTATTGTCTCAGGTGGTGATGACGCTGAAGGGAACATAATATTTTAGGCACGTACATTGGAAAAGACTATAATAGCACCAATAGATCTTTTCTTTAAAAAAAAAAACGTATTGTCTACAGCTTCTATCTAAAGGACATAAACTACAGCTACTGTGAATCCCAGTGGTTTTCTGGGCTCAAAATCTTGAGAAGCAAGAACAAGGTCTATCCACATCCACCAGGCTTGTCTGCCACTTTATTTTTTTATTTTATTTTTTGACGAAGTCTTGCTCTCTTGCCAGGCTGGCGTGCAATGGCATGATCTCGGCTCACTGCAACCTCTGCCTCCCAGGTTCAAGCGATTCTCCTGCCTCAGCCTCCTGAGTAGCTGGGATTATAGGTGTGCACCACCATACCCGGCTAATTTTTGTAGTTTTCGTAGAGATGGGGTTTCACCATGTTGGCCAGGCTGGTCTTGAACTCCTGACCTCAAGAGATCCAGCCGCCTCGGCCTCCCAAAGTTCTGGGATTACAGGCGTGAGCCACCACGCCCGGCCTCTGCCACCTTTTCTATGGCAAGGCCAGGATATGTCTCCGAGGGCTCTCCATTAGGCAGCCCCTGGCACACAACACGAAGCTCACCTTCCTTCCAGCCCTGATCTGTGGGCCAGCTGCTGATGCTGTACTGCAGGCTGGAGTCTGTGGGTCAGCTGGGCTTAGAAGGCAGTGGGCCTTAGTTCCAGCTTTTGGGTTGGGCTCAGGCCCATTCCAGATGCTTCCTTTTTCTCCAGGACCAGCAGGCCACTGGAGCGTATTTTTCTCATAATCATGGCAGAAGCACCAGAGGGAAAACCTAACCCCATAAGCACGTGTTCAGTGTCACCTCCTTTTACATCCACCAACAGCCCCTTGGCCAAAGCAATGCACACAGCGAAGCTCGAGCTCAAAGTCATTGGGAGAAGGAAAGCCTCCACCCATGTGAGACCAAAGGAAAGTTGTGGATATAAAGCAAGGGACAGAGGCCTGGATCCCAAAGACAACCCACTGCCAGCTGTGCATTTCTAGTCTCGTTTTCCTTGCTGTAAGGCTCTCAATCCCATGTCTGCTCCAAAGGCAGAAGAACCAAGGAGTAGAAACCAATGTCTTCTACTCCACTTACAAGCACGGGTCCTTAATTCCACCTCCCCACATGTGTTCAATCCATCAGCAAGCATTGATGGCTCCATAGCCAACACATCAACCGGTGCCACCCAGTTTTCACCATCAGGGTGTCCCTTGCAGCCTCCACCATCATCACTCGCCGGGACTCTGCAGAGCCTCCACCATCATCACTCGCCGGGACTCTGCAGAGCCTCCACCATCATCACTCGCCGGGACTCTGCAGAGCCTCCACCATCATCACTCGCCGGGACTCTGCAGAGCCTCCACCATCATCACTCGCCGGGACTCTGCAGAGCCTCCACCATCATCACTCGCCGGGACTCTGCAGAGCCTCCACCATCATCACTCGCCGGGACTCTGCAGAGCCTCCACCATCATCACTCGCCGGGACTCTGCAGAGCCTCCACCATCATCACTCGCCGGGACTCTGCAGAGCCTCCACCATCATCACTCGCCGGGACTCTGCAGAGCCTCCACCATCATCACTCGCCGGGACTCTGCAGAGCCTCCACCATCATCACTCGCCGGGACTCTGCAGAGCCTCCACCATCATCACTCGCCGGGACTCTGCAGAGCCTCCACCATCATCACTCGCCGGGACTCTGCAGAGCCTCCGTATTAGTCAGGGTTCTCCTGAGAAGCAGAGCCAACAGGATATACACAGATGTGTACGAGAAGATTTGTTATGGAAATTGGCTCATATGATTATGGAGGCTGAGAAGTCCCATGATCTACCATTGGCAAGCTGGGGACCCAGGAAAGCTGGTGATGTGATTTGGAAGCAGAAATCCTGAGAACTGTGGGTGGGTGGGTTGAGGGGGCGGGTTGAGCATAAATCTCTGTGTCTACAGACCTGAGAACCAGGAGCTCCAATGCCTGAGGGCAGGAGACGATGGAAGTCCCAGCTCAAGAAGACAGAGGGGAAATTCACCCTGCCTCCACCTTTGTGTTCTGCTTGCGCCCTCGATGGCTTAGATGGTGCCAGCCCACACTGCAGAGGGTGGATCTTTACTTGGTATACTGATTTAAATTCTAGTCTCTTCTAAGGAAGAAACACCCTCATACTCATACCCAGCAATAATGTCTTACCGACTATCTGGCTATCCGTGAGCCCAATCCAGTTGCCAAATTTCAACCATCGCAGTCTGTAAGCAGAGTCATTGACACCACACAGTGGCTGGTGTGATCTTTCAAAATGTCAGCTCCTTGCCTGACAACTCTACACTTGCAACACCATGCAAAGACCAGGTCATGGCCTGAGCGATCCCATATCCTCCGATACCGTGCAAAGACCAGGTCATGGCCTGAACAATCCCATATCCTACAATACCATGCAAAGGCCAGGTCATGGCTTGAACGATCCCATATCCTACAATACCATGCAAAGGCCAAGTCATGGCCTGAACAATTACATATCCTCCAATACCGTGCAAAGACCAGGTCATGGCCTGAACAATCCCATATCCTACAATACCATGCAAAGTCCACATCATGGCCTGAACAATCCCATATCCTGGTGTCACCATGCAAAGTCCAGGTCACAGCCTGAACAATCCCATATCCTCCTAGCTCTTTCCCATTTATACGGCGGCATCTTGCAAAAGTTCCCCTGCCACACCCCTAAATACCAAACATACTTGGATCTTTTTTTTTTTTTTTTTTTTTTTTTGATAGGGTCTTGCTCTGTCAGGCTGGAATGCAGTGTCGCAATCTCAGCTCACTGAAATCTCCGCTTCCCAGGTTCAAGTGATTGTCATGCCTCAGCCTCTCAAGTAGCTGGGATTATAGGCGTGCGCCACTATGCCCAGCTAATTTTTGTGTTTTTAGTAGAGACAGGGTTTTGCCATGTTGACCGGGCTGGTCTTGAACTCTTGCCCTCAAGTGATCTGCCCACCTTGGCCTCCCAAAGTGCTGGAATTACAGGCATGAGCCACTGCGCCTGGCCAAGCTCTTTCTTGGCCCTCAATGAAACCTTTGCCAACTACAATATCTACAAAACCATATATCCATTATACACTTTCCACTAACTAGACTGTTCTTATTTTATTATTACTTGGGGAATGCCAGTACATCCCAAGAAAGAAGTTTAACTGAGAGCAGGGACTTTACCAGCCTGATTCATCACTATATCCCCAATAACAAGCACAATGCCAGTTTACATTAGCAGCCCCCTAAATATTGGTTGAATTGAAAAATAATCAGAGACAAATGAACACAAACTTCAAATGCACTCCAGAAAGCTGGAGAAAGAAATTGCTCAAGCCTAAAGAATATTGCTGTATTACTGGTTCAACAAATTCAACACTCTCCTGTATACACATCTGATATTTAGGAAATGGAAGCTTGATTGAGTTTCAGGGAGTCTAAGTGCCACTGCCTGTCCTGAGGCTTGGCAAAGGACCTCATGCCACCTGCAAATAGCAAGACATCAAATTATGTATTAGTTACAATGCAAAGGTAAAGGAATTGAGTATAGATGTATGCCCCCCAAAAACCCCACATGAAATTAGAAAAAGAAGTGGCCTGTTATAAAGCCATCCAAATGTATGGTATACTTAAAAAAATATATGCCCAGCAACAAATAGCTCAAGCAATGTATTGCAATGTTGATGAAAGGCTACATGCTATGAATCTGAGCTCTGGAGCTTGACTGCCCAGGTTAGGATTTTGATCAGGTTTCTTAATCTCTCTGAACCTCAGTTTTGCATCATTAAGATGCGGATAATAGCACTGCGTCTCTCACAGGGTGTCATGGACATTACAAGGTCCGGTCCACGCAAGGTCTTTGTGAGCAGTGCTGGGTGCATAGTAAGAATCCATCTGGGTTTGCTATTATTAGTATAAATAAATATTAATTTGGATCAAATTGTAGATACAAAGCAGAGAGAGAAAAAAATCATAATTAGAACTGTTAAATAACACTTGTTATAATTTCCCCGTGGTGCCTTCTCAAAATAAGGTCTTCTGTAAATGCCACTTCAAATCTCAGAGCTCAGCAACTCACCCACCAGCCAGCTGTCAGGGAACGGGTTTAACTCAGAGAAGTGGTTCTGTTGAGCCACTTCTTTTTCTCTGACAATGTTGTCTCAGGGCTCCCCAGTGGAAAAGTTACAATGCTTATTATAACCACACTATAAACAAGGCCCGGGTTTATATAACACCTCGGTTACCAAAAGCTAAAAAGTACATCTAAGTGTTGTAGTTATGTCTATTTTCACAACATCCATGCAAAATTAAGAAAGTTTGATAATATTATCTCATTTGTAGATGAAGAAATTCAAAAGAAATCAAGTAACTTCTTCTGGCTTATGCAGTAGATAAGTTGGATAGCTAAAAAGAGGTCTGAAGACAAGCTTCAGCATAACATGCCTTCCATAATTTACCCAAATTAACATTTTAATCTATCTACTTACATTTCACCTCCTTCCAAAACATATTAACAAAGGAATTGGTATTATTATCCATAGTTCAAATATGTTCTCCCAGAATGCATTCCGTGGCACAATACAGATGTTGATTGTTGTGGCTTGGGAAACTAGGAATTCCACTGGCAAATAGGATTTTATGATAAAGAACCCTGTGCAACACAATATTTTAATTCCTCCTATGTGGCAAATGATCATTATTTATGGTTCTGAGTGGTCCTACAGCAGAGAAGTCTGCTGACTTTGGTTAACCCAGTATTTCGCATTCTTGGCAGAGCATTTTTTTAAATACAAAGTCAATAATATTCAAAGCACCAGTGTTCTATGTCTCATCCATTTAGGAAATGCTGACTTAGGAAATCACAGGGCAGAGCAAATCTAGACAACAATGAGAACTCCAGGACCAGGTTAGGGCACTAAAGACAGTCTGCAGACCTGGAAGTGAGCGCCCGACTGGCCAAGGAAAAGCGGGAACATGAGCAGTTCTAGGAATCCGCTAGTGAGCGACGGGTAGGTCTGGAGATTGTGGAGTTTTTGGAGATTTGATGAACCTTTAACTCAAACTGCCTCAAATATTTTAAGATTTGACATAAAGAAGTAACATAGGACAATAGACTGATTTTTTTTTTTTTGTCTAAGCAAATTTAGCAATCCCAAATGTAAGTCATGACATTCTTAGAGGTACTATTCAAATTTGTTTTAAACTTAGTGCTACTAGTTCCAAAATGGGTGCATATGTTAATGCAGAAGGATTTTAAAGAGTTTCTAGGAGATTTAGAGAGAAACTCGAGCACCCTATGAAAAGAGTATAATCCAACCAAGTGACAGTGACTGGGAAACACCTATTGAACCCAACGGAAAGTGGGAAATCAGTATCTTATTATCACCTGTCATTATTATTGTTACTATTTTTTCAACATCACTGAAAATACCACAGCTGAACCCTCTGCCTCATGCTTATTTGCTAATTCAAACCTGGAGATTTCTTTTCAGGCAGTGAACATATGATTTAAATGGAGTTTAAAACCTTAGCCCTTCTATTTCCTAGGTTTCTCAAAATGTACATATCCAAAACAAAATGCTTGATTTCCCCCTTAAAACCATCTCATCCCTCTCTTCTCCTGTCCCATACACAGGTCCTCCATACAGCTGTCTGCTTGAAATCAGACACAGAGGCTTCCTCAGACATTCTCTTCTTTCCCTCAACACTCACATAACCCTGGAGGAACAAGTCTCCTGATCACTTCCTTGTTGCTGTAACTGCAGATCATTCGAATCTGCCCTCTTCTCTCTGCACCAAGACAGTCCAAGCCACAACTGGCTTCTTAGCTGGACTCTGCCACAGTCTTTGCAAGTGGTCTTGCTGCTTCCATCCTGCTTTCTTTCAATGCAGTCTCTGCTCACAAATGATTTTTAAAAGCATAAAATGTATGATTTTCTTATTTTCTCTTGATATCCCCCACATCCTAACTATTACACTAGGAATAAAGTCTAGACACCATCTCCAAACTTATCTTGAGACATTTCTCTCGAACTCATTGCATTCTGGCCACACTGGTTACTTCCAGTTCTTTCTCTCCTTCGAGCTTCCAAGGTAAAATTCCCTCTATCTGCAACATCCATATCCTTTGCACCTTGCCTGACACCTCTTTAGTTCTTCAAGCCTCAGTTTATAGGCTGACCCTATCTGATCTTCCAAATGAAGGATTCCTCTTTACCTAATCTTTAATTCTCGATCACAATATTGTTATATGTTAAAGCATGCTGTTTGATACCTGCAATTTTTACTGACTTATTCATTTACTTGTTCCTTCTCTGTCTCCTACATCCTTACTGCTCACTCCATGGGAGTGGGAACCATGTTTTCTTTACCCTACATTCTAGGCATGATACGTAAACATCCATAAAGTATCTGCATGGGTGAATAAAGAAAACTCTACAAAGGATTTTTTGATGTGAAAGGAATCTAATTTGCATTTATGGTACGTCGTGTACATAACTTGCAAAGCATCCATGAAAGGGCAATTCATTAATTAATTCCCTTCCATTTCTCTGCCACAGAAACTACTTTGGCCAACGTTTCAATAAACAAGCAGGGCTTACTTCCTATCACTTGCCTTCAAAATACTCGATGACCCATTGCCTTGTTTAGAAATCATAAATTGAATATAGAGGCAAAATAAAATGATCCTTCAGAAAGAGCAGAACACCTCTTAATTCTTAAATGAATACTAAAACACAATAAATAGCACATACCACTGAGATGGTAAATGGATTTATTAACTGGAGTTTGGGAAAAGAAGGAGCCAACATAATTCAGCCAATTTTGGGGCTATTCTTAGATATACACTTATAGAGAATATTTGATGGAATAAAAATGTCCTAGGTAAGATGTCTTTATCTGCCTGGAAGAGGTAAATAGTAGCTGCAGATGGATATTGATCAACTTACCATTTTGGATGTTAAATGACTGGAAGAGGAGCAAGTAACTATAGCTTTTAGTCTAAATTTGCAAAGAAGGGTACCTTAGGGTAAGCTGCTCATGTGAGCAAAACGCCAAACACCCTTGGTCTTCATAATCCATAGGGTACTCTTCACAGCCTCAGTTTGCCCACTCATGTAAAGAGAACTCTACCCTCCCTCTCTTTATCTTACTTTTGTAACCTCTTGAACAAACACATTCAAAGGTCACTTATGTAGTTTGGTTCTTGATAGCAAAACACACTGTGAATAACTTCTTTAAATAGGTAACTCTTCTTAGGTCCTGTATTATATTAATATATTCCCTCTGGTTCTTTTTGTAAGTTTAGTTGATTTTTCATGTTCTTTCTTTAGTTGTTGGTGGCATCTTTGTTGTTGTTGTTAAATGCAAAGGGAAGGCATAGTCCAATTATCTATCTAATTACTAGTTCAATAATTACTTTATCACTACTTAGGCACCAAATTATCTAAATAGCTTTTGTCTCTACAGTCCCCTCAGATTTGTCCCTTGAATATATGTTGGCCCTTTCTCTTTTATAATAATACACAAGGGAGTGGGTAAAATCCTTAGGAATAAAGGTATTGTAGGATTGTGATTGCTTTTAAAGATCCTATGTAGACAGTTATCCAGCCTACAGTCCCATCTCACCAGAACCCCACCCGGATCACTCAGAGGAGAGTTGCACTTTATGCTGGGTCTGTGAAATGGGATCTTCTTTTCCATTGTTGCTGGTGTTCACTAACCAGCCTGCAAACATTAGGAGAGCAAGGTGTCGTATAGATAGAAAAATTTAGATGTGTTCAATAAAGCTCTCATTGGGAAGAGAAGCATGGTGCGTTTCAAACTCATTGAAGTTGAATAAGTGTGGGTGGTCAGGCCGGAAAATCGAGGAATCCTGAGGGAAAAAAGCAAAGCTACATTTAAAAAAAAACTATAAGAAAATAGATACAAAAGCCATGGTAGAGTCGTCCTCTGCAGCTGGAGCGTTTCCACAAGACACCCGACTGAGCTGGAAGGGCCCGGTGTGGAAAAGTCATTTGTCACAAAGCATGGTCAGAAAAGGAAGCCAGACTCCTAAGCATTTCCCAAAAAAAAAGTGCTACAGCCAGAAAATCTAGATGAGGGCTGGCCGAGGAGGAAAATCTAGATGAGGGCTGGCCGAGAAGGAAAATCTAGATGAGGGCTGGCCAAGGAGTAAGACTCAAGTTCTGATTCACAACTGTGCGTGATTGCTACAGAAAGAAAAGCCAAAGGACTCTACAGGCTAGTGGTGGCTGTGAGGGCAAGGAGGGTGGGTGGGAGGTGGCAGGAACCAGGTCAGGAGGTAGGATGCCAGGGAACCGGTCAGGGCCTCCCCAGAAAACAGAAGGGCATTGTGAGGAGGATTTATTCAGGAACAGGGGATAGAGATGAACCACAGACATGCTTCAGTAACCTGGAGCTGGCAGCAGCTAAGCTGTTACCAATCCTTGGCCTGAGAGGGAGGAAAGACAAATAATTTGCTGTTCAGTTGTGGGACAGGCCCAGCCCAAGGGGACCTTGCAGAGAGAGAACCGGAAAGGAAAGTACTGTGACCTCACTCTCCTCCCTCCCTCTGAGCTCCTGCTGGGGCTTCCAGAGACTTTTCTTTGGCTGAACCCAGGTGGAAGCCAGAAGGCACTGAAATGCTTTAACAAAGATTGTGCAAGAGAGGGTGGAGAATGGGCCTTGGTAAGCAAAGAGAAGAAACTCAGTACATCCGGTAAAAGGAAGGCTTGAAGAACATGGTATAAACCATCCAACTCCTCATTCCCATTTAATTTGTCAGAGTCATCAGATTAGAAGCAATATTGATTAGGAAGGAATTGGACCCCAATTTAATGAGCACTCTGCACACCTCAACCAAGCCTTTTAAAGTGAGCTCCAGCCTCCGGGCTTGCATGCATCGTTGTCCCGAACAGACAGATGGAATTTGTAGTTGTGCTTATTGAACATGCGAGGAACTGGAGGGAGAAAGAAAGGTCCTAGGATAATTCTCATTGAACAAAAAGGAACAGGCCGAGGCAGGCGGATCACGAGGTCAGGAGATCGAGACCATCCTGGCTAACACGGTGAAACCCCGTCTCTACTAAAAATACAAAAAATTAGCCGGGCGTGGTAGCGGGCGCCTGTAGTCCCAGCTACTCGGGAGGCTGAGGCAGGAGAATGGCGTGAACCCGGGAGGCGGAGCTTGCAGTGAGCCGAGATCGCGCCACTGCACTCCAGCCTGGGCGACAGAGCGAGACTCCGTCTCAAAAAAAAAAAAAAAAAAAAAAAAAAAAAAAAAAAAAAGGAACAGGACAGAAAGTGATCAAAAAAACTGCGGATCAATAAACCTGAAGTCAGCATAGACACAGGTATATGTTGTTAAAAGTATCATGAGCACTTTAGCAAAGAACTGAAAATTAGTAGCACATGGTATGCTTCCAGTAAGGACATATTACCTATGAATAATCAGTTATTGGTTGCTTGGATTTTATAGGCACCATCATGTGTTCATTCAACAAATATTTTGAATGCCCACAATGTTCCAGTTGATGTTCTGGATGTTGTGAATAATGCACTGAGAACAGTGGACAAGCTCCCTGTGTTTAAAAAAATTAGAATCGAGTGCAGAAGAAACTCTTCACAGGTAAACATAAAAATAAAGAGGGTAATTTCAAGTAATTAAAGGCATGAAAAGCATATAAGCCACATGACGGGAAATACAATGTTGTGAAGAAGTTGGTGGTGGGGCGACACTGATTACCTCATTAAGGAAAGCTTGCAGAAAGAGGATACCCTGAGTGATGACTGGCTGTGAGGCATGCTGGTAGAAAACCCTTCAAGGCACAGGCCACCACTGATACAAACACCCAGAGTAGGAACAAATGTGGCTTGTTCCAGGAATACCGAAGGAGAGAGCGTCTAGGGCTCACCAGCAAAGGAGTCAGTTTTAGGAGATGAGATCAAACAGGCTTGTGGGGACCAGGAAATGAAGGGGTCCTTGGGCCTCAGTAAGCACTTTGAATTTTATTCTAAGTGTGGACGCAATTGTGTGCAATGGTCTTCAGCAGAAAAAAAGGCTATGTGACTTGTATTTTGGAAAAGATCACCCTAGCTGCTATAGAGGGAATGGACCAGGTAGTGGAGTGGGGTCGCAAGACTGGCGAGGAGACTTTTTAGACAGTGCAAGAGATGAACATGTCTTAAGCTTAGAAAACAGCAGAGGAGATGAAGATAAATAGTCAAATTCAAAGGTGTACTGTGGAGACAAAGCAGACAGCTGCGTTTAACAGTTGGCTTTGGGGAATAAGACAAATCAGCACCACGGAGAACTCCTATCTTGTTTCAGGAACTGGATGGAGTGAGGGACAATTTGCTGAGAGAATGAAGCCTTAGGGGGAAAAACACTTAGGGAAAATAAAAGATTTATTAAGTTTTAGAATATGGAAAGCATGTTATATCTGGAATATTGGACAGGCATGTGATAAAATATGCTGTCTCTGTGGACAATGGGAAGTGAGCTGAATCTGAATGAGAGGACATCTATCATTCATTCATTAACGTATTTATTCATCTGAAAACATTTTTGTACACCTGCTGTATATTAAGAATTTTTTAGAATAGTTTTTTTTGTTTGTTTGTTTTGTTTTTTGTTTTTTGAGACGGAGTCTCACGCTTTCGCCCAGGCTGGAGTGCAGTGGCACAATCTCGGCTCACTGCAAGCTCCGCCTCCCGGGTTCACTCCATTCTCCCTGCATCAGCCTCCTGAGTAGCTGGGACTACAGGCGCCCGCCACTATGGCCGGTACTTGAACTAAATGTGTGAACAAAACAGACACAAATTCTTGCCCCCTCCATCCCCAAAGGACATACATTCTAGTTCAAGCAAACAGACAATAAGCAGAAAAATAAATAAAATAGATGAAGCATCAGATGTTGGCTTAGACCAGGGTATTTGCATGAGCAATAGTCAGATTTGAGGTATATTGTAAAGGTGGAACTATTAGGATCAACCGAGACTGAATTCATGTCTGAGAACAAAAAATTCCAGAGTGTGGGCCTGAGCAACCAGAGAGATATCATTGACTGAGATGGGGAAGGTTCCAGGAATATGTTTGGAACATGAAGATCAAGAGTTTGATTCCGGACACACTAGCTTGAAATGCTTACTAGAGAGCCAAGAGGAACTGTTGAACCTGGGGTTCAAGGAAGAGTTTCAGACAAGAGACATACATTTTATTTTATATTTTATTTTTCCATAAGCAATTTGGGTACATGGGGTATTTGGTTACATGAGTTAGTTCTTTGGTGGCGATTTGTGAGATTTTGGTGCACCCATCACCCAAGCAGTATACACTGCACCATATTTGTAGTATTTTATCCCTTGCCGTCCTCCTACTCTTCCCATAATCCTCAAAGTCCATTGGATCATCCTTATGCCTTTGCATCCTCATAGCTTAGCTCCCACATATCAGTGAGGACATACAATGTTTGACTTTCCATTCCTGAGTTACTTCACTTAGAATAATAGTCTCCAATCTCATCCAGGTCACTGAAAATGCTGTTAATCCATTCCTTTTTATGGCTGTGTAGTATTCCATCACATATATGTATATGATATATATATATGTGTGTGTGTGTGTATATATATATATATATAAGTTTCTTTATCCATTTGTTGATTGATGGGCATTTGGGATGGTTCCACGATTTTGCAATTGTGAATTGTCCCACTATAAACATGCATATGCAAGCATCTTTTTCGAATAATGACTTCTTTTCCTCTGGGTAGATACCCAGTAGTGGGATTGCTGGAACAAATGGTAGCTCTACTTTTAGTTCTTTAAGGAATCTCCACACTGTGTTCCATTGTGGCTGTACTAGTTTACATTCCCATTAGCGGTGTAGAAGTGTTCTATGTTCACTGCATCCACACCAACATGTACGGTTTTATGACTCTTTTATTATTGTCATTCTTGGAAGAGTAAGGTGGTATCACATTGTGGTTTTGATTTGCATTTCCCTGATCATTAGTGATGTTGGCATTTTTTCATATGTTTGCTGGCCATTTGTATATCTTCTTTTGAGAATTGTCTATTCATGTCCTTAGCCCACTTTTTAATGGGATTTTTTTTCTTACTAATTTGTTTGAGTTTGTTGTAGATTCTGGATATCAGTCCTTTGTCAGATGTATAGATTGTGAAGGTTTTCTCCCCTCTGTGGTATGTCTGCTTTTGGATTCTTAGTCATGAAATATTTGCCTAAGGCAATGTCTAGAAGGGTTTTTCCAATGTTATCTTCTAGAACTTCTGTAGTTTCAGGTCTTAGGTTTAAGTCCTTAATCCATCCTGAGTTGACTTTTTTATAAGGTGAGAGATGAGGATCCGTTTCATTCTCCTAAAAGTGGCTAGCCAATTATCTCAGCACTATTTGTTGAAAAGGGTGTCCTTTCCCCACTTTATGTTTTTGTTTGCTTTGTTGAAGATCAGTTGGCTGTAAGTATTTGGGTTTATTTCTGGGTTCTCTATTCTGTTCCATTGGTCTGTGTGCCTATTTTTATACCAGTACCATGCTGTTTTGGTGACTATGGCCTTACAGTATAGTTTGAAATCAGGTAGGGTAGTGTGATGCCTCCAGATTTGTTCTTTTTGCTTAGTCTTGCTTTGGCTATCCAGGCTCTTTCTTGATTCCATATGAATTTTAGAATTGTTTTTTCTAATTCTGTGAAGAATGCTGGTGGTATTTTGATGGAGATTGCATTGAATTTGTAGATTGCTTTTGGCAGTGTGGTCATTTTCACAATATTGATTCTACACATCCATGAGCATGGGATGTGTTTCCATTTGTTTGTGTTGTCTACGGTTTATTTCAGCAGTGTTTTGTAGTTTTCCTTGTAGAGGTCTTTCGACTTCTTGGTTCAGTATATTCCTAAGTTATTTATTTATTTATTTATTTATCTATCTATTTATTTTTGCAGCTATTGTAAAAGGGATGAGTTCTTGATTTGATTCTCCACTTGGTTGCTGTTGGTGTATAGAAGAGCTTCTGATGTGTGTACATTAATCTTGTATCCACAAATTTTGCTGAATTCTTTCATCAGTTCTAGGAGCTTTCAGGAGGAGTACTTAGGGTTTTTAAGGTAAATGGTCATATTGTCAGCAAACAATGACAATTTGACTTCCTTTTTACCAGTTGGATGCCCTTTATTTCTTTCTCTTGTCTGATTGCTCTGGCCAGGATTTGCAGAACTATGTTGAAGAGGAGTGGTGAGAGTGGGCATCCTTGTCTTGTTCCACTTCTCAGAGGGAATGCTTTCAACTTTTCCCCATTCAGTATTATGTTGGCTGTGAGTTTGTCATAGATGGCTTTTATTACTTTAAGGTATGTCCCTTGTATGCTGATTTTGCTGAGAGTTTTAATCATAAAGGGATGCTGAATTGTGTTGAATACTTTTTCTGCATCTATTGAGATGATTATGTGATTTTTGTTTTTAATTCTGTTTATGTGGTGTATCACATTTATTGACTCACATGTGTTAAACCATCCCTGCATCCTTGCTATGAAACCCACTTGATCATGGAGGATTATCTTTTCGATATGTTTTTGGATACGGTTAACTAGTATTTTGTTAAGGATTTTAGCATCTATCTTCATCAAGGATATCAATCTGTAGTTTTCTTTTTTGGTTATGTCCTTTCCTGGTTTTTGTATTAGGGTGATGCTGGCTACATAGAATGAATTAGGGAGGGTTCCCTCTTTCTCTACCTTGTGGAATAGGATCAAAAGGATTGCTACCAATTCGTTTAATGTCTGGTAGAATTCTGCTGTGAAAGTGTCTGGTCTTGGACTTTTTTTGTTGGTAATTTTTAAATTACCATTTCAGTCTTGCTGCTTGTTATTGGTCTGTTCAGGGTACCTAATTCTTCCTGATTTAGGCTAGGAGGGTTGTAATTTTCCAGGAATTTACCCATCTTTTCTAGGTTTTCTAGCTTATGTGCGTAAAGGTGTTCATAGTAACCTTGAATGATTTTTTGTATTTCAGTGGTGTCAGTTGTAATATCTCTTGTTTCATTTCTTCGTGAAGTTATTTGGATTTTCTCGCTTCTCTTCTTGGTTAATCTTGCTAATGGCCTATCAACTTTATTTATCTTTTCAAAGAACCAGCTTTTTGTTTCATTTGTCTTTTGTATTTTTGTTGTTGTTCTTTCAATTTTATTTAGTTCTGCTCTGATCTTGGTTATTTCCTTTCTTCTGCTGGGTTTGGGTTTGGTTTGTTCTTGTTTCTCTTGCTCCTTAAGGTGTGACCTTAAAATGTCAGTTTGTGCTCTTTCAGTCTTTTTGATGTAGGCGTTTAGGGTTACAAACACTCCTCTTAGCACTGCCTTTGCTGTATCCCAGAGGTTTTGATTGGTTGTGCCATTATTGTCATTCGGTTTGAAGAATTTTTAAATTTCCATCTTGATTTTGTTTTTGACCCAATGCTCATTCAGGAGCAGGTTATTTGATTTCCATGTATTTGCCTGGTTTAGTAGGTTTCTTTTGGAGTTGATTTCCAGCTTTATTCCACTGTGGTCTGAGAGAGTCCTTGATATGATTTCAATTTTCTTAAATTTATTGAGGCTCATTTTTATGCCCTATGATATGTCTATCTTGGAGAAAGTTCCATGCGCTGTTGAATAGAACGTGTTTTCTGCGGTTGTTGGGTGAGATGTTCTGTATATATCTGTTAAGTCCATTTGTTCCAAGGTATAGTTTAAATCCATTGTTTCTTTGTTGACTTTCTGTCTTGATGATCTGTCTAGTGCTGTCAGTGGAGTACTAAAGTCCCCCACTATTATTGTGTTGCTGTCTATCTCATTTCTTAGGTCTATTAGTAATTGTTGTATAAATTTGGGAGCTCCAGTGTTAGGTGCATATATGTTTAGGATTATGATGATTTCCTGTTGGACAAGGCCTTTTACCATTATATAATTTCCCTCTTTGTCTCTTTTAACTGCTGCTGCTTTAAAGTTTGTTTTGTCTGTTATAAGAGTAGCTACTCTTGCTCGCTTTTGGTGTCCATTCGTATGACACTCCTTTACTTTAAGTTTATGTGAGTCCTTATGTGTTAGGTGAGTCTCCTGAGGGCAGCAGATAGTTGGCTGGGTTCTTATGTATTCTGTGGTTTTTAGTGGAGCATTTAGGACATTTATATTCAATGTTAGCATTGAAATGTGAGGTACCCTCGCATTCATCATGCTCTTTGTTGCCTGTGTACTTTGGTTTTTTGTTGTTTTTGCTTTTTAACTTGTAGTTTTGTTTTATAAATCCTGTGTGATTTATGCTTTAAAGAGGTTCTGTTTTGATGTGGTTCCAGGATTTGTTTCAAGATTTAGAGCTCCTTTTAGCAGTTCTTGTAGTGGTGGCTTGGTAATGGCGAAGTCTCTCAGCATTTGTTTGTCTGAAAACGATTGTATCTTTCCTTCATATATGGTGCTTAGTTTTCCTGGATACAAAATTCTTGGCTGATAATTATTTTGTTTGAGGAGGCTGAAGATAGGCCCCCAATCCCTTCTAGCTTATAGGGTTTCTGCTGAGAAATCTGCTGTTAATCCGATAGGATTTCCTTTATAGGTTACCTGGTGCTTCTGTCTCGCAGCTCTTAAGATTCTTTCCTTCATCTTGACTTTAGATAACCTGATGACAGTGTGCCTAGGTGAAGATCTTTTGGCCATGAATTTCCCAGGTGTTTTTTATGCTTCTCGTATTGGAACGTCTAGCTCTCTAGCAAGGCCAGGGAAGTTTTCCTCAATTTTCCCCCAAATACGTTTTCCAAGCTTTTACAATTCTCTTCTTCCTCAGGAAAGCTGATTATTCTTAGGTTTAGTCATTTAATATAATCCCAGACTTTTTGGAGGCTTTGTTCATATTTTCTTATTATTTTTTCTTTGTCTTTGTTGGGTTGGGTTAATTCAAAGATCTTGTCTTCAAGCTCTGAATTTCTTTCTTCTACTTGTTCAATTCTGTTGCTGAGACTTTCCAGGGCATTTCACATTTCTAAAAATATGTCCAAATTTCCTGAATTTTTTTGTTTTTTTCTTCAGTTATCTAATTCCTTGAATATTTCTCCCTTCACTTCTTGTATCATTGTTTGGATTTCCTTGCATTGGGCTTTGCCTTTCTCTGGTCCCTCCCTTATTAGCTTAATAACTAACCTCCTGAACTCTTTTTCAGGTAAATCAGAGATTTCTTCTTGGTTTGGATCCATTGCTGGTGAACTAGCATGATTTTCGAAGGGGTATTGAAGAGCCTTGTTTTGTCATATTACCAGGGTTGGTTTTCTGGTTCCTTCTCATTTGGGTAAGCTCTGTTAGAGGGAAGGTCTAGGGCTGAAGGCTGTTGTTCAGATTCTTTTGTCCCATGGGGTAGTCCCTTGATGTAATACTCTTCCCCTTTTCCTATGGATGTGGCTTCCTGTGAGCCAAACTGCAGTGATTATTGTCTCTCTTCTGAGTCTAGCCACCCAGTGAGTCTACCTGGCTCCGGGCTGGTACTGGGGGTGGTCTGCATAGAGTCCTGTGATGTGATCCATCTATGGGTCTCTCATCCATGGATAACAGTGGCTGTTCCAGTGGAGGTGGCAGGGGTGTGCAATGGATTCCATGAGGATCTTTAGCTTTGGCTGTTTAATGCTCTATGTTTGTGCTGGTGGCACTTCCCAGTTGTAGTAGTGTGGAGAGGGACCAGCAGTGGGCGGGACCCTAGATCTCCCAAGGTTGTATGCTCTTTGTGTTCCATTACCAGGGTGGATAGGGAAGGACCATTAGGTGGGGGCAGGGCTAGGCATGTCTGAGCTCAGACTCTCCTTGGGTGGGTCTTGCTGCTGCTGCTGCTGCTGCTATGGGGGATGGAGGTGAGATTCCCAATTATTGGAGTTGTGTACCTAAGAGGATTATGGCTGCCTCTGCTGAGTCACGTAGGTTGTCAGGAAAGTGGGGGAAAGCTGGCAGTCACAGGCCTCAGCCAGCTCCCACACCAACTGAAGGGCTGGTTTCACTCCCATTGTGCCCTCCGCAACAGTCTGTCTCCAGGCGGAGGGTGAGATGGCTTGAAAACTTGCCCTGGGCTACCTGCCTTCCAGCTGCGGAAAAAAAGGTCTTGGTTCTTCCCCGCCTGTGAAGTCTGCAAGCCCTCTCCCGAGTTCTGGCCAGGAGGCTTCTCGCCCCATTCAAATTGTTACAAAGTTCAGCTAAAGAATTCCTTCTCCATGTGGAGTTTTACCCCCTGCTCCTCTGGCCACCCTCCCCATAGATCCTTGTGGTGCCAGGCAGGAATGGGCTGCTTGGGGACCCAGCGAGCTCCCAGGGCCTTTCTGCTGCTTCCTCTACCCCTGTATTTCGCTTGGCTCTCTAACTTGACTCAGCCCCAGGTAAAGTTAGAAACTTCTTCCACAAACAGACCTTCAGCTTCTCCAGTGGGGGTGTGTGTTTGGGAGAGGAGGGTCTCCCTTTCCCACTTTCACAGTTGGGGCACCCACAGTATTCGGGGTGTCTCCTGATCCTGCAGGAGCAGTCCGCTTCCTTCAGAGGGTCTCATCACTTATGTCCTTAAAGTGACTGTGAGTAATGTGATCACATTTCTGAATTATCAATAAATAGATGATATTTAAAGCCACAAGGAAGGATGAGATCACCCAAGGACTCGAAACAGGCAGAAAATCTGGACTGTTCAGAGCAGTCCAGTGTTTGTGGGATGTGTAGATAAGAAGAAACAAAGAAAGGAGATTTAAAAAAGAGAAGCTCATGAGGTTGGAAGAAGATGTAACATGCACATTGTCCCAGAACCCTTGGTATTCCGCAGAAGGTATTGTCCTTTCCTGTTCCAAATGTCAGTTAATAAGCTGAGTGAGGAAATTGATGGCATGCGAATCTCAGTTATACATGATACAGAACTGAGAGTTATAATAAAAATGCTCTATCACAGATCCAAGATCCTAAAATATTTCAACAGGCTACAATGATGATGGACTGTGTCCAGTGAGATGATATTTTAGAGAGAAATGCCAAATTTAACTCTCAGGCTCAAAATCCTCACTGTACAAGAACAATCACCATGAATATGTAGCTGAGGACCAGGCTGTGAAAAGGACAGAGAGAAACTTAGGAATTGGGAGTCAATAATGCAGTGCACCTTTCCAAAAAGAGTCACAGAGAGTTGGCTGGGGTTAATCAAAATAGGGTGCTGAAAATGATCTGCTAAAGTCTAGTTCAACTCTCTTCTTTGTCAATCCATACCTGGAACACCATTTTCAGTTCTGGGACTACAGATTAAGTTTGGGTCCAAAACTGAGACTGATAGACAATTTAATGCTGAAAAGAAGATAAACCATCATCTCTGAGGATACTAATCAACCCAAGAGTATCTGGAGAAGAATGTGCAGAGTAGCTACAGAATAATAATAATTAGTAGAACCAAGAGTTATTTAAACCCAAGAAAGAGACATTCTATGGGACACTGTGCAGGAGACTACTGTGAATTTCCTAACCCTTTTTAAGCAAGAAAAACTATACTTTCCAGTTGTCTCATAGCTAGGAAGGGCTAGAAAAAGATGATACTAGAAGAGACTGGAAATGTAGGCAGGGGTTAGACCACGTAGGCTAGGTTTTGTTTGCCATGTGAAGTATTCTGGTGTCTCATCTAAGAGCCAAAGAAAGTCATAGATATGTTTTAAGTATGAGATAAGGACATCATCAAAAATGAAGTTATAAAAGATTACCATCTACAGTATAGAAAATAGTGTGGAGAGAGATTAAGAGTAGTTGAAACATTTGTAATGGTTTACACTAGAAAAAAGAATAGTTTGGAGTACAATAGGGGCAGTGGATACAGGAAGAAAGGGATAGATTTGAAAAATACATAAATCCATCTTTTTTCAGGTAAAATCAACAGGACTTGGTATTGGGTTGGATATAAGGACATGCGAAAGAGGAGTACCAATAATGACTTAAATGAATAATAAAATGAAAGCGAGCCACCCACTAGACATTATTTATACAAATCTATCTATCTACCTACCTACCTACCTACCTACCTGTCATCTATCTCTGTATACATAACATTTATAGCTTTATTATCTTTTTCTCTATCATCTATATTCATAACCATACTTTACCCACATATTTATCTATTATGTCTATTTATATAGAAAAGCATGGGTTTCCCTAAGAGGTAATGCATTATTTCCTGTCCCCAGAGAAGATAAATGAAAGCTAGACAATTTCCCAGTGGAGATGTTATAGAGAGAATTCCATTATATGATGGAAAATTCATAGGCTGTTTTAAAACATATTATCACTGATCTTCCTAACAAAAAGTCAAGAATTCTATTAAGTAGATGGGGTCATTGTGACATTATTTCACAGATAAGAAGAGGCTGATACCAAAATAGAAACTTCCCAAAGTTACTGTGATCAGGGGTGACAGAAACATAGGTTTTTCGTCTTGAGAGCCTCACTTATTTTCTCTCGTTATTCAGAAAGCTTCTAATATTCCATGTCCATCACTTAGTCATGCCCCAGCTCTGCTTTGCCATCCTCCATTTTGAAGATAAATGTGGTCCTCACGCCTCAGGACCATGGCATGAGGCAGATCTTTTCTTTTTTTTTTTTGAGACGGAGTCTCACTCTTTCGCCCAGGCTGGAGTGCAGTGGCGCGATCTCAGCTCACTGCAAGCTCCACCTCCCAGGTTCACGCCATTCTCCTGCTTCAGCCTCCCCCGACTAGCTGGGACTACAGGCGCCCGCCACCACGCCCAGCTAATTTTTTTGTATTTTTAGTAGAGACGGGGTTTCACCGTGTTAGCCAGGGTGGTCTCGATCTCCTGACCTCGTGATCCACCCGCCTCGGCCTCCCAAAGTGCTGGGATTACAGGCGTGAGCCACTGCACCCGGCCGAGGCAGACCTTTTCAGTCCATCCATGCGTGGGACGAATGTTTCCTTCCTGCTCTTTGTCGGACACACAGATATGTCTATGTCTTTTGCTGCATTGGCACTGTATATTCTTACTAGTATAGTTCCATGCTTAAATCCTGGTGGTGTAAAAGCATCAGTGCTGGAGTCAGACATCCATTTTAGTCATGTGACTTCCAGTAAGTTATTTTCTTTCCACCAGCCTTAATTTTCTCATCTGCAAAATAGCCACGATGGCCATTTCTCTTGATGGTAGAGCATTGATACAATGACCTTTTCAATCTATCCATACGTGGGACGAATGTTTCCTTCCTGGTTTTTGTCGGACACACAGACATGTCTATGCCTTTTGCTGCATTGGCCCTGTATATTCTTACTAATATAGTTCCATGCTTAAATCCTGGTGATGTAAAAGCATCAGTTTTGGAGCCAGACATCCATGTTACTCATGTGACTTCCAGTAACTTATTTTCTTTCCACCAGCCTTAATTTTCTCATCTGCAAAATGGCCATGCCATGATGGCCATTTCTCTTGATGGTAGAGCATTGATACAATGTTTTGTGAAGAGGCTGCATGGTGTGAACCAGGTAGCAACATGCAACAACTGTCCAGACACTTAATAAAGAAGACATTCCGTTTATTTTGTAGAGCTGAATCGTTTCTCGGTGGTTGAATTGCATGTTTATTACTATCTCCCAATTTTATTACTACAAGGCAAATTCCTTTAAATCCAGGAAGGATTTTTTTCTAGAAAGATATGGGTTCTAGGTTCCATCATTACACCAAGGTTGTTACACTAGAAGGCTAAATTTGCCACCTGTTTGATATCTTAGGAAAGAATTTAACTTTTCTGTTTTTCAAAGATGAATCTGTTGCATACAGTAAGAGGTGTGTAATACTTAATACTCTCACATTAAGTAAAATAATTAACTGGCTAGTCACACACATTTTCAAAATGGGAATGACAGATTTAATAGATAGGACTCTCAGATCTCTGTTAACATGCTTTGCAAAATCCTTTCCTTAATCATTGCATTGCTTTTCCATATGTTGTCTTATTATACTTGCATATAACTGCAAATTCATGAGGACGAATAGGCTCCATTTCCATTTAAAAATTGTCAGGAAAATAGATCTGCGTGGAACCATACAGTGCAGTTTAAGTATTTCCTTCCAGTTTGTTGCTGACAGGTTTAGGAAAAATAAGTTCTGTAAAAAGTCACTTTGAACTGTAACTACCATATCCCTTAGGTAGTAATTTTAAAGAATTCTACTGCAGGGAGGCCTTTCTGTTGTTTAATGATACAGCTACCCATAAGGCATTAAAATGTCCCTTCTTCCCATTCCTATTTACCTTACTCGTGTTTTTACAATTTAAAAAAAAAGCGTAAATAGCAACTTTTCCCATCTTTTCTGATCTAGGCATAATATTCTCTGATGCACACCATCGTTTCATTAGAGAAATTGATATAAATCCACCTGCTATAGCCTTGGGGATTAACACCAAACTCTGTGAACATGCTGCAAAGAGAAAAACAAACAGAAAAAAAATATCTAGCATTAGATGAATTAACAAACCAAAAAACCACTGCTGGTGAACCGAAGAAAATTAAATTGATTCTGAAGAAAAGTGCTGATTCTTTAGGAAAATGTGATTAGAGGTAGCCTGGCCTGGAGCTTAAGATTGTCAAAAAACACTGTTACATGTTTGTCAAATCCTTTTTGATGGGAAGTTCACAGGTTATAAAAAAAATACATTTCAAAGCTTTAAATCTTAGCTGAAGCCTAATCCTCAATGTTGCATATCACCAACCAAGCACTTTGATTTAGGTATCAATGACCAGCTACACTGGACAGGTATGCTGGCTTCATTCAGGGTCACAGTGCTAGCCATGTCATCTTGAAGGCAGGAGTCATCTCTTCCCTGTCTAGCCACGTGTGTTTCATTAATGAGGAATAGTGGGTAGGTCCTTTCTTCACATGCCTCTCTATTATTTTGATTTTTCAAGCACATTTTCTATAGGAAGTAGGTTTTATTTTTTTTTTTTGAAGGTTTTAAGATTTGTTTTGTAAATAAATGGAAAAGCAGTTACCTCCTTCACCCAAAATTCCATATAACCATATCTGTCCTGTGATTTTTTGGCTGAGGATTTTCTTTTTTTCAAACTTCATGTGTTTCCCAGCTTCTGCTCCTTTCTATTGGAAGCCTGAATTTATCCAAGTATCCATCTTTTACTGACTGCATTTACAGGAAGCTGATCTTAGTGAGTTATGGTGATACTGTCCCCATGGTTATGATGAGTTTAGGAAGTCTGTCTTAGCCTGGCCTGGGTATCTGGTGATTGTTACCAGTTTAGGGTAGGTTGATGGCCTAATTGGACACAGTCTGACTGTTCGCATAACCAAGCGAATCCAGTCTTAAACAGTGGACCAATACATTCTGATTTCTGCATAAACCAGTTTGGTTTGAATTTGAAAAGGTCCTAACAGATGCAGCATTTTGCCATTTGGTGCCTGCCTGATAGAAGAGTTTAGACTCCACACACACAACACAGCTATTATTACTTACTATGTAAAATATCATAGATTTATTTAGTCTTTTCATCCCTAGAGGACATTCAACGTTACTTTTACCTTAATTTCTTGAAAAACTTGCAGAAGAAAAAAGTGATGGTCAGGGGCAGTGGCTCACACCTGTAATCCCAGCCCTTTGGGAGGCAGAGGTGGGTGGATCACGAGGTCAGGAATTCAAGACCAGCCTGGCTAAGATGGTGAAACCCCATCCCTACTAGAAATACAAAAAATTAGCCAGACATAGTGGCGGGCACCTGTAATCCCAGATACTCAGGAGGCTGAGGCAGGGATTGCTTGAACCTGGGAGGCAGAGGTTGCAGTGAGCCGAGATCGTGCCACTGCACTCCAGCCTGGGCAATAGAGCGAGACTCCATCTCAAGAAAAAAAGAAAAAAAGTGATAACTACTTTAATTTTTTTGCATGTGAATATCCCCAAACATGTCTTCTTTGTCATTGCTGTTAAGAGCAGCACATGTATTTACTGTAAAGCCACTGAGTGTCAGACCCCGTGCTACGTGTTTGACTTCCACACTCATTACAATTTACATCACCCTGTGAAGTAGAGGCACCATCATTATCCCCAGTTTGCAGATGACAAAAGTGAGGTGCAGAAAGGTCATCTACCTCACCCAAAGTCTGCTCAGTTACAGACTTTCAGGCCAGGTATCTGAATTGGCCCCATCTGATTCATTCCCCAGCACCAGCATGGTTACTGAGCTTCTGCCGCGGGATGGACAGTAGTCCAAGTGCTACAAACACAGCATGAACACAACTACCCCTATTCCCTTGGGGATCAGACGCTGGACAGAAACAAGGTTTGTTAGGTGCAAAGAAATACCATGGAGAAAAGGTAAGTGAGGATAAGGGAATACAGAATGTGGCAAGATATTCTTTAGACGGGGTGGTCAGAAAAGGCCTTACTGTTGAGGCTGGATTTTGTGCGCCATGATCTGAACCACACATTACAGAATACCAAAATCAAATTCACCCTAAAACATAAGCCTGGCAAAGCTGGATGGCACCTGCAAATTAGGTGGATCCAAAGGCTTGTTGGAATTTTGAGTTAGGCTTTAGGTGGTTCTTTCTTGTGAGAAATACAACAAGTCTCACGGATACAAGAGAGGACTGTGGGCTTGGCAGCTGGCATAAAACCTGAAATATGAACCCCTCATGCACTCCAGCCTTCATGAAAGGTGTTTTCACCTTCTGGTAGTTGCTGACAAGATTTTAGATGCTATGGAGTGAGTCAGTCCTTAGAAAGCAATTCAAGAGGCAAGGAATCATTGGCTCTGAGCAATTAGTCACAGTAGGAACCTGAGAATTAGTCACAAACATGCCCTTAAATCAGTTTCCAGTTCTCCTTTCAGTTCTGCCTTCAACCCTTATATGAGTTTAATTCAAAGGTCATTGCCAGCTACAGAGCAAACAAGCTCGACACTGTCCAGTGGACACCACCAAAGAGAAAGACGATGAAGTTCACCAAAGAATGTGAGGAACATTAAGAAAGATGAAGGAAGACTAGGCATCATGAGTGCTGGAGGCCCCCCGGGACTCTGAAAGGATGGAAGGCTACACCATCGGGAGGCTTCGCTCATGACAGGGATTAACAGGCTCGGGGCTGACCTATCAAACCTGAGATCCCTTCAGAATGATCAAGCAAAAATGCAGCTCAAGCTACCTGCCTTGGTTAATCCCGTGGACACTCTCCATGGGGTGACATATAGTCAGAATTCATCTCTGTTCTCCGTGGAAAATACACTTTTCTCACGATAACACTACTTTTTTATTTTTAGGGAACCCTTCATTCAAGGAGATAAAAGTTTATATCATAATTGGGGATTGTAGGGGGGGATTTTCAACCCCCAGAATGAGGAACTCAGGCCTGGATAAGCAAAGGCTACACTGACATTAGACCTGGGATAGGCAAATCACAGCCTGCAAAAGCTGTCATTTTTGTATGTCCTGCAGCTACTAATGCTTTATGCATTCATATACGTGGTTAAAAAAAATCAAAAGAAGTACACTGCTTTGTGACACATGAAAATTATATGAAATTAAAGTTTCAGCTCTCACAAAGTTTCAGCTTTTTATTGGAACTGTTACACCCATTTGCTTACATGTTTACGGCTGCCTTCCGGCCCCACATGCAGGGTGGAATCGTTGCACAGAGACCATGTGGCTTGCGAGGCTGAAAATATTTAGTACCTGTCCCTTCACAGAAAGTGTTTGCCAGCTCCATTGTTTTCAACTCTATTTGAGCTATTGCTCCTTTTATATAACAAATATTTATGTAACAAATAAAGTAGCACTTACTTTACTGTCCTGAAATAAGAACCATAATTAACATAATCTACCAATACACATATTTTAAAAATTGGTATAATATTTTCACTGAATTATAAACTATAAATAAAAGAAAATAGTTTATAATAAAATAATAGGTACTCAAATACATAAATTTTGGGGGCAGGAACAGCACCGTAAGTCATAATGGTGCACTCAGATACTTGCGCCTCTATGCAGAAGGGAGTGAATGAGACAGCTGTTAAGTGCAGACTGACACACGTGGCCGTGTTGACAACCCAAACATCATAACCGGCAGTGCTGCTGTTGCCTAGCGAGAGAGTTCAGTGACAATAGTAGGTGCTTCTGATGGAGCGCACGGCCATCGACAAACTGTGTTTATTAGGGAAGGGACTTCTATCTGACCTCCTCTCTCCTCTCAGTGCCTTACATTGGCTGAATTCAAGCAGAAGCCAGTGGGCGGGGCAGCCTGTTCCATGAAATCCGTAAAGGAAAGACCCCAGGGGCACACAGCAGGGTGGAGAACAACAGACAGTGGGTCCGCATGGCAAGTGGAGAGTATACCAACCACCATCATCTCAGTAAACGATGTGAATTTCCCTGATCCCCCCAGCCAAACTTTTAGATACTGTCTAACCTGATAGCCACTAGCACACATGGCTGTTTATGTTAATATTAACTTTAGAAATTCAGTTACTCAGTGACACAATCCACATTTCTAGAACCCAATAACCCACATGTGGCTGTGGCCACCATACTGGATGGCTTAGATTATAGAACGTTTATATCATCTCGGAAAGTTTCACTGGACAGTGTCTAGTCTAGACTCACATTTGCTCTCTGCTGTTCAAACACACTCCTTGTCCAGTCTATAAGCAAGTGCTGGTGCTATACTTAGGAAATACATCCTGACACCTTCCACTTATCTTCACCATCCCCATCATCACCCTATTCCAAGTTGTCATCCTTTCTACCTGGACCACCAAAGGAGCCCCCAAATGGTCTTTCTATTTCCATTGTGGATCTCTCCCTGCAAATCTGATCTCCTCATAGCATTCAGAGTGATATTAAAAAATAAATCATGATCATATCAGATATAAACATCTTGAACCAGAAATCCCACTGCATGTGCCATGCCTGATGGGGTCTCTAGTACCCAGCTCCCACCTACCCTGAACTCATCTCCTTGTACCATTTCCCCACTCACTATCTCCAGTTGCACTGGACCTTTTTCCACTCGAAAGCACTCAGGGCTGGCCCCTGCTTTGGGCTTCGGCACCCACTTTTCCTTCTGTCTGGAAAGCCAGCTCCTTTCACAACTTCCCAGGCTGGGCCCTTCCTGGAGCAATGTCTGAGCTCAAATGTCATCTCTGCAGGAACAACCTAGTCTGAAAGAGCACATCTCAATGAGTCTTTCCCTCCATGATACCCTGTTCTATTTTCTTCCAAGCATGTATTAATTCTGAAATTATCTTGCTCAATTATTTTTGACACATTTCCCAGCTGCTTCCCCTGAGTGGCATGAGCTCTGCTAAATCTCAAGACAAAGGCAAGTGCCCAGCACAAAGTGAGCTCAGGAAATGCTTTTCAAATGGACTGTGCTTCTGCGGTACCTCTAAAATGAGTTACATCATAGCTTATTTGTTCACTGATAGCAACTGGTTGTACAACAGCTAGGGCTGTAATAACCACACGGTGAGCAACAAAAGCAATAACTCTTCTGCATTTGTTTTGTACTATGGGCCTTTAAAAGCATTGAAGTTCAGCCGACACCGCCATCTCATTATAAATCACCTCTGGAGAGGATGGTTCATTAGGGAACATCAGAGGCAACAGATTGGGCTGAAAAGAAAAGGCAGTGGCTTTGTGCATAATAAATAATTCATTTTCAGATGACTTTTTCTATTTCAATAAGACTTCTCAATTTCATATTTTTATGAGTACACCTCCTTGCATTTGCATTTTCCAAAGATCTTTTTGCATATGGAACTGATCAACAGCCTACGCTCTGTTTCCCGTGTGAGAGGGATGGAGTGGACTGGTTATGAGCTTAGACTCTGGAGCTCATCCATCTGGAATCTAATTTCAGCTCAGCTTCTTAGCTGGGTAGCTTGGGGCCATTCTTCCAACTCTGTGTGGCCTCATCCATCTGTGAAATGGGGATAATAGTCATATCAACTTCACTGGTTCATTGTGGAAATTAAATTCTTTATATATATAAAGAATTTATATATATGTAAAGAACATATATATATAAACAATTTATATATATGTAAAGAATATATATATATATAAAGAATATACTTTCATACGTCTGGAATCAGAAATCCTGCTGCTGCAGGTACCATGGCTGATGGGGTCTCTAGAACCCAGCTCCTGCCTACCCTGACCTCATCTCCTCCATATATGTGTAGAAGTTCCTAGAACCATGCATGGTACCTAATGAACAGTAAGTATTTGGTGTAATTACTGTGAATGCTGTTTAGGGAGCAATGGCTACTCAACAAACACACAATGCAAGAAGGTGCTTTAGAGAAGAGATTTTTTCAAGGGCTGTCTTAATTTGCACTTGGTTGAGAAAGTATAAAAATGAAAGCCATAGTGTGCTGTGCAGTGTGACTGAATTTTCGAAAAGTCTGAGTAAAACAACAGAGGGTATCTGGCATATTAATTAACAGGCTCTCACAAGAAAAGAATGCTATGAACAGTCAAATAAAAAGAGCCAAGAATCTGCTTTTATGCCAAAAATTCAACAAAAATATTATTCAAGCCAGGAAAGGAAGCTCCTTTCCCTAATTTGACAGCCTTTTCTTAAGTCCAGATCTTAGTGGGTGACTGTCACCACACATTACTTGTACTGACTTCAAAACTGCAGGGAGATAGGTGGCCTGGGTTACCATCTCCTCGCAAATCCATGTGTATTCCAATGAGGGATAAGGCTGTTCTCTTACACGCCTTTACTGAGCATCTACTATGGGCTGGTCCTGTGCTTTCTGCTGGGGGATATCAGGAGGACAGGGGTTGAGCATAATCACAGTACTGGAAGGATGTAACACAAACCAGGAGAATACGTGTGCCAGGAGAATACATCCCAAAGATTCTGAAGATGAGGGGAGAGTATGGTTGGTGAAAAGGAAGTTCATTTTATTTAAGAAGAGAAATGTACTTGATTCAGTGAAGCTTATTTAAAATGTATTTCATCAGAAGATTTACAATAGTAAAATTATATGGTTCTAAAAATATAAGTTTTGCCTGCTAAGATCACAGAAATGGAAATTTTCTACCGAATCACAGATTTAAAGAACATGCCTTAATCGAGAAGATTTAGGAAGATGCAGCTGAGATAAGGAGGGAAGAGATTCCTTAACGATTACATGATTGTAATCCCAAGAATCATATAAGGAAGGAACTCAGCATTCAACCAAGTAGGTGGAGGGTCAGGCCAAGAATAATCTGCTTAGCTTCACCTGTAGTTACCTGGGTTATGGAGTCCCCTACTCATGCTAATGAGAAAACAGCATCTGAGTATGAAATATCACACGTCAGGAGGGGTTTACTGGAGTCTAGCAGCTTCCAGTTTGGAAAAAAGGCTTGGAGATTGGACAGGTTTAGGTGGGTGCTAAGGTTTGAATGTTCCCTCCCCAAATCATGTTGACACTTAATCCCCACTGTGGCAATACTGAGAGGTGGCCCTTTAAGAGGTGACTGGGCCGTGAGGGCCCTACACTCGTGAATGAATTAATCCATTCGTGGATGTGAATTAATCCATTCATGGATGTGAATAAACCCATTCATGGATGAATGGATGAATGGGTTATCATGGGAGTGAGACTGGTGGCATTGTAAGAGGAGGCAGAGAGACCTGAGACAGCACATTAGCATACTCTGCCCCGCTCCATGCGACACCCTGCTCTACCTCGGGACTCTGCAGAGAGTTCCCCACCAGCAAGAAGGTCTTCACCACCTGTGGCCTCTTGCTCTTGGACTTCTCAGCCTCCATAACTTTAATACATAATTTTCCTTACAAATCGCCCAGTGTCAGGCATTCTGTTGTAAGCAACAGAAAATAGACAAATACACCAAGGATCAAAGAATAAAATGAGACGAGGAAGGACTTAGAGTGCAAATCAAAGGGACATACTGAGCCTATGTCCTCCCAAGCTTCTTGGGTATGGCTCCTACTTAAGATGGCTCCAAACACATGATCTCAGCCAGCAAGAATAACTCAACAGTGTCAGAATCCTCCGACTTGCCCGCTGCCCTCATTGCGTGCAAGGAAAACATGGGTGCACAGAGTAGAGGAGCCAACATGGATCCTGTCTGAGCACGAGGATCAAGGAAGACCCTGTGGTGGATGTGGCATGGGAGCTGGGCTCTAACGAGAGAATTCTGAGATGCTTTTCCCCTTTCCATCAGAATCACGTTTGAGAAAGAGCTCAGAATGTGATATTGAATTGCACTTCCTAAAGAGCAATGGCACATTTGATTCTTCACTTTTGTTTAAGAGCTCTGCGGTCTTCCCCAGGATCTTCAGGGCTGGGTTTGGCAGATGCGTCTGTATGTATCCTTATGCCATTGTGAACGCCACGTAACACCATCAGCACCAGGTCCCTGTAGGGCTGGAGTTCTCCTTTGATTTTTTTCAAGGATAATACAGACATTGTCTGTCCTGACCATGTCTCCTGATTAAGTTTTATCTCAAGTTTCAGATCCATTCTAATAACTAAAACTTAGTGGTCATAGCTGAGACCCAAAGCAAAATGAGAAGCTGGTCAAGAGACCCGCCTGGGAGGGCACATTCTTAAAATCCCACAGGAGAGCAGAGTCATTCACCTCTACTTCCTGCACTTACAACGGTAACCACAAGTATAATATCCAAACAGCCACTACCCAAGAGGAAGAAAAGAGTTTGTTTTATTTTAAAATGAAGAGGACTTGTAACTATGTTTTAAAGGACTAGCTGATAAGGCATTCAAAAATTGATAAAGTATATACCTATCAGTGCCATGACCCCTGAACACTGGTGTAAACTTGAAACACTTGTTTTAGCCAAAACTCAGGAGGCAGTTAGGAGAGAAGGACGTTGAAGAACTTTGAGAAACGGAGACCTTTCTCCTTGGAAAGCTGAGTCACTACAAAGGGGACTCCAACTTTTCCAAGACATGCAAACACCAGGCCGGGTGCAATGGCTCATGCCCCTAATCCCAGCATTTTGGGAGGCAGAGGCGGGTGGATTGCTTGAGGCCAGGAGTTCGAGACTAGCCTGGGCAACCTGGCAAAACCCCATCTCTACTAAAATATAAAAATTAGCTGGGCTAATATCTGGAGAAGAGTAAACACCAGTCTCCAGATTCAGACACTAACGTGGTTACAGATAAGCACTTGATAAATGAATGCTAATGCACCTTTAATGACCTTTTCCCTCAGAATTTGCCTCCCTAAAAACAAAACCATATTTACTTACAACATAGTAAGGCATGATTTCCTGAACTGAAAAAACAATGTAATAAATCTCATAAAAACCTACAACTGGATTAAGAAACTAAAAAGTTTCAAGACCCTAGACATTAGGGGGAAAAAAGGCAAACTATTGAAGAAGACTTCAAGAAAAAAATACAAAATATTAAAAAAAAATTGTTTCTAAAAAGTAGCTTTCGATGCAAGCACCTGGCGGCATCTCATCCCAGAGCTTTCCTGGAGATGAAATTACACAGCACACAAAGAATGGAGAGGCCACCAGCTTCAGCTCAAGTGGACCTCAGATCCTTGACAACAGCCACAACTGTGCTCCCTTCCAGCATTATTTTTGAAGACTGTTGATCTACTTACTTAGTTGTGCTGTGTGTGAATATTTTAATATTTGAGATTTTATGCCTTTTTTGTCTTGGATATAATTAGAGGGAGATGAGGGATTTCCATTATGCAAAAGATAATGGATTTGACTACATACAAATTACACAAACAGACAGAAGTCTGTGCAAGCCAAAAAAGTCTGACCAGCAAAGTTAGCAAATGGTAAACTAGTAAGAGTACCTGCAATATGTCAATGGAAAAGTTAGGATCGCTAATATATAGAAATAGAAATGTGGTTACCGGTGTCTGGGGAGGAGGGAAGAGGGAGGAGGAATTTGTGTTTAGTAGCTATAGTTTCAGTTTGCAAGATGAAAAAGTTCCAGAGAGCCATTGCCCAACAATGAGAAAATACTTAACATTACTAAACTATACACTTACAATGGTTAAGATGGTAGCTTTAATGTTATATGACTTCTACCATAATAAAAAAAGATTTATAACAAAGGTCTAAGAATAAATTGAATTCCCAAGGAGAAGAGAAAATGGGCAAAGAACAAATGCTTAATAGGAAATAAACATGTCATCTAAGAAGGGCAAATTAAAACAACATTGAGATATAAGTTTTGCTAAATTTTAATATTTCATGTTGGAGGAAGCTGCAGGAAAATGGGTATCACTATGCATAGCAAGTGGAATTTTAAACTGGTTAAGCTTTCTGGAAGGCAGTTTGGCAAACATTATGAAAAAGGAATACAATATTGCATATCCTTTGATTTGAATTTATTTCTAAAAGTTGACCTGAAGGAGTTCATTAAAAATGTGTGCAAAGATTTTTGTACGAAAATATAAACCATAGGTTATTTTATAACAAAAAAGCTCTTAAATTTTAATCTTGTGTGGTAGTGTCATGGAGATATACGGGGAACTTTTTGTTTGGGACTAAAGCTAGGATGCATCTTTTATTCCTGTGTTTTCTTCACACCTATATCCAATGCATTGGGAAGTCTTGTCTTCTAAGGCGGACGCTGCTGCTCCACTGCTATTATCTCAGCCAGGACAGTCCAGGACAGCACCAGACATTTCTCCATGTGCACTCCCTTCTCCCACTGTTGCATGCTTGCAGCTGGGCATCTGGCTCCTGGAATAGCTCACTCTCTCCAGCCTCCCTTGCAGCTAGATCTCAGCACTTGGCAGAGCTCCTAGACTGATGGGGTGGGAGCAGAGGTGGGGTGCTCGGGATGGAGAGGAGCACACTCTCCCCTTTCCCACTTATAAAATATAAAAAATTATAGGCCAGGTATGGTGGCTCATGCCTGTAATTCCAGCACTTTGGGAAGCCGAGGCAGGTGGATCATCTTAGGTCAGGAGTTCAAGACCAGCCTGGCTAACATGGTGAAACCCCATCTCTACTAAAAACACAAAAATTAGCTGGGCCTGTTGGCAGGTGCCTGTAGTCCCAGCTACTTGAGAGGCTGAGGCAGGAGAATCGCTTGAACCTGGGGGGCAGAGGTTGCAATGAGCTGAGATCACGCCACTGCACTCCAGCCTGGGGGACAGAGTGAAACTCTGTCTCACAAAAACAGAAAATAAATAATGAAAAAAATTTTTAAATAATGTTTGCCTTAACTGCCTTTTAAATAATGTTTGCCAAACTGCCTTCCAGAAAGCTTAACAAATACAAAATTCCACCTGCTTTGTGTAATGATTCCCATTTTCCTGCAACTCCATCAACACGGAATGTTAAAATTTAGAAAATAGCTGCAATGTGGGTATGGTTGTCATTAATTTGGAGGAAGAGTGATGGATCTAAAATTTCTTTCACATATTTCTCAATAAAGATAGAATGAACAAAAGCAAAGTAATTTAATAACGGCAACCACATCCCCTGCATGACAACACTCTTTTACCAACCAAGTCAAGGTTAAAATAAGGCACCTTGCTCTGGGAAGACTCAGAACCACTACCAATACAAAAGGTAGATCAGACAGCAGTCTGGCTCTCCACTTAGTTCGAAAGGAAGCCACTCAGAGCCCATTGCTAACAACTCAGCCCACCACGTTTTGTTTTGTTTTGTTTTGTTTTTGAGATGAAGTATTGCTCTATCACCCAGGCTCGCTCTGTCACCTCCGCCTCCTGGGTTCAAGCCATTCTCCTGCCTCAGCCTCCTGAGTAGCTGGGACTACAGGTGTGAGTCACCAGAGCCGGCTAATTTTTGTAGTTTTAGTAGAGACAAGGTTTCACCATGTTGGCCAGGCTGGTCTTGAACTCCTGACCTCAGGTGATCCACCTTTCTTGGCCTCCCAAAGTGCTGGGATTACAGGCATGAGCCACTGCACCCAGCCCCACCAAGTTTTAATCCAATACATTTAATTCAGCTCAAGAATCAGTGGGTGCCTACATACTGCCTACCACTCTTCTTATGTTGTAAAATATGGGAGCTGTGGATAAGTCCCTTACCTGAAAAAATTTATAACATTATTGCCAGAGTATTGCATATATTTTAAATTCAGTAGTTAAGTAATCATAATATAGATAACACTTACTGTGTGTTTGCTATAGGCTGGGTACTCTAATAAGTACTTTTTTTTTTTTTTTTTTTTTTGAGGCAGGGTCTCACCCTGTCACACAGGCTGGAGTGCTGTGGTACGTTCTTGGCTCACTGCAAGCTCCGCCTCCCAAGTTCAAACTATTCTCATGCCTCAGCCTCCCAAGTAGCTAAGATTATCGGCATGTGCCATCACACCTGGCTAAGTTTTGTAGTTTTTTTTTTAGTAGAGATGGGGTTTTGCCATGTTGGTCAAGCTGGTCTTGAACTCCTGGCCTCAAGTGATCTGCCCACCTCGGCCTCCCAAAATGCTGGGATTACAGGCATGAGCCACCGCACCTAGTCTAAGTACACTTTAATTACTGTTTTATCCTTACAACTTTATAAGTAGGTATTATCCCTGTAACTCCCTCTACAGATGAGGAAATTGAGGCACAATGAAATTAAGTATGGTTGCATGAATAGCTAGTGGAGACCATAATTTGTTATGTTATTCTTTTTCCTGGGAGACTCGTAATGACCAATGAAAAATGGAAAACAGGTACTAAGATGAGGGACCTCTTTGAGCCTCAGTTTCCTCAAGTGGAAATAAAGGAGAATTGTCGAAGATGCTGTTCATTGCCTTAGAATACCTTTTCTTTTATTTCCTTGTAACAGAATTTGAGCAATCTTTCATGCTAAAAAAGTAGGTTTCTCAGCCTTCCTTACAATTAGATGTGGCTATATAACTAAGTTTTGGTGAATTGGATGCAACCAGAAACTGTATGTTGGATTCTTGTAAAGTTCTTTTGAAAAGGAAAAGAGACTGGCCCTGTTTGAACTTTGGCCTTTTTAAGTTTTGCTGGTCTGCAGAATATAGATGTGATGGCTGGCATCCCAGCAGCTATGTTGGACCATGAGGTAATCATGAGGATGGAATCCATGCACCTGACTGCTGAAGTAGAAGGAAAGATGGGGCCTGGGTCTCAGATGTCATGGAACACCAAACCAGCCCTAGACCACTAACCTTAGGAACTTCTTTACATGAAAGAAGAAATCTGTACTTAACTCATAATTAGCCAGAGGGTAAGTTAGGGTGCCTGGGCAGGGAGCTCTGTTGCTCTCAGCCAAATGCAATTCCTAATTGGTACACATGTCAAGGGGGTCTCCACTGAGATTTTTGTTTCTAGCTCTACCATTATACATTCTTAGAACATTACATAGGGCTGGGCACGGTGGCTCACATCTGTAATCCCAGTACTTTGGGAGGCTAAGGTGGGTGGATCACGAGGTCAAGAGTTCAAGACAAGCCTGGCCAAGATGGTGAAACCCTGTCTCTACTAAAAATGCAAAAATTAGCCAGGCATGGTGGTGGGCACCTGTAATCCCAGCTACTGGGGAGGCTGAGACAGGAGAATCAACCCCGGACGGCAAAGGTTGCAGTGAGCCAAGATCGCACCACCGCACTCCAGCCTGGGCAACAGACTGGCACTCCGTCAAAAAGAAAAAAAAAAGAACATTACATGTAGCATAGCAAGAACAGGTGCTGTAGGATGGGAAATGTTTCAGAGGCTGTTGAAGGACAGAGAGAGGGCTCTTGTGGGACTGAGGACTCGTATAGGCCATGAGGAACGATGGGGTTTAGAAGAGGCAACAGCAGCATCAGGGCCACCAGAGGCAGGAGAAACGCCGAGTGTGGAGTGTGGGAAACAGCATGCAGCCGGGCCTGGGCCGAGGGCAGCAGCAGGAGGTGCTCAGGGAGAGCTGCTCAGTCTCCTCAGACCAGAGGTGTGGAAAGGAGCAAATTCAAACCACTACTTGCTCAAGACAAACGGCGTTGCCATTCCCAGTGACAGAACCACTGAGAGTCCAAAGCAAAGGGCACGGCCGTCTCACACAAAATAATAACCAGGGAGGCCCAGCGCCTCTCAAATAAAACAGTAAGAGCCCTTGTCAACTACAGTAACCCAAACACCTTTACATTTCCTAATGAACAACACAGTAACCAGTTTAGTGTCACCGGGCAGCTGTCCAGTTGCCTTGGACTGAAGACCTGATTTCTGGTGTTCTTTCAGCATGACAGAAGAACGCTGGTCAATATTTTCTAATTGGTGGTCTGGGGGACCAGGCGGGTGTTTGCCAAATGTCTCAGCACATTTCACTCCTATGCTTGATCTACATGGACTCCAGAGCTGTGTGTGTTCGAGATCCACAGGTGTCTACATCATATGCTACAAACACATCTATCGAGTCGTCAACAATTTTCACACAATAGCAGACCCAAATCTAATACCTGGAGTTTATTTTCTAAATAATACGTTAAGAAAATTGGTTTATATTTGTATAGATATAGATATAGATACACACACGCACACACACACACACACACACACACACACACATAACGATTGGCTATTGGCAGTCAACTTTGTGGTTTCGTTTCTCACTGTCCTGATTCTTGGCTCCTCCCCTTTTCCCCACCCAGCCTGGGACTCAGTGCGGCGCCGGCGCCTTCCCCTCCCCCGAGTTCAGTTCTAACAGCCCAGGGCGGGGCTTGCTTACCATAGCCAGCGGCACAACTCCAATCAAGTCCTTTGGGCTCACATAGATCTTGGACACTCCCAAGTCAGACGTGATCTCTCCGGGGTACTCGACCTGCCACGTGACCAGCTGTGTGGCTGGCAGGTCACCAGGCTCTTCCACCTCCACATCGATCTGCATGACCTCGTAGGAGGCGCCATCCGCACTGGAGAGAAGACACAGAGGAGAACAGCTTTCAGGGACTGATGAGGTATGGCACGCTTGGCAGAGAGTGGGCGGCCCTTGGCCATTTCTCTATGTACCTCCACATGGAACCAAGCGCACACATCTCTGCAAAGAGCATTCAGAGATGCCATTCCAAAACGAACAAAGGAGCTTTAATATGCTCTGCAGCATTAGCCTGGGCTTAGATACTGTCACTCCAGGTTCCAAAGTCCTTCTGTTTGTGGGCTGCTCAGCTGCCCCAGAGCAGGTATTTGTGGATAATTATGGGAAATAGTGATTGCATTTCTTAAACACTTCCTTTCCCATTCTCCATTTAGGAGAACACTTTTCCTCACTCTCACAAATTTCTAGGCAACTTCCATTGGATTTTCCAAAGCCACAGCCAGATTGAGTTGGTTGCACAGAATTTTAAGGATGTCTGAGGGTGACACAGTTGTGTTATTGGCAGTGATAAGACAGAATTGCACAGAAACAGGCAACGTGTGCACAACAAACCAGGGTCAAGGGGGTCGCTGTGATGAGCATGGAGAAGTCACCAGATATTACGTGGAGATGGGAGTCATTGCGACAAAGACTGGTTTCTAGACCCTCAATTTTCCTATAAGCATACATCTAGAAACAAATCCACCTAGGACTTTCTGGATTATTTTTACAGCTATTTAAGTAATTAATTAGCTGCCTGCCTCATCATAGTGATTTTTGGTATGATGTCTGCTCTTCTATGTGACAGGTAGAAAAATGTAGATTTGGTGCCTGCCTCTGCCTGAAAAGGAAGTGACCAGGGTGTAGCTGAGAATGAACAGAGGAATCCGCTGAGAGAGGTACTTTTTAAAGCCTCAGTGGCCAAACAACGTCTACGTGTCAGATCTATTTCTAAAAGATTTGAATTTTACACCTTTGAGAAATGATCACTGAACTCTGACATGTAGGAGAATAAGGTTTGTTCTTTTATATGTGACAAAGCTATTGACATTTTTATCACACCGTCAATCTCACCCAAGTTTACCGGTAAGAAGCTCAGAGATAAACGGTGGGGCTTCCAGGGAGCCTTGTTCTCAATAGGAGGGATGAGATGGAAAACTAGAAGATCAGGGGAGATTCTAATGAACAGAGAAGGAGGGCGAGAGAGACAGACAGAGAGAGAGAAAGGAGGGAGGGAGGGAAAAATGGAAGGAGAGAGAGAAGTAGAAAGAAAGGAAAGATAAAAGCGATCACTTGAAGTCAGGAGTTTGAGACCAGCTTGGCCAACAGGGCAAAACTCTATCTCTACTAATAATACAAAAATTAGCTGGGTGTGGTGGCATGTGCCTATAATCCCAGCTAGTTGGGAGGCTGAGGCATGAGAATTGAACCTGGGAGGCAGAGGTTGCAGTGAGCTGGGATCACACCAGTGCATTCCAGCCTGGGTGATGAAATGAAAATATGTCTCAAAAAAAAAAAAGGGAAAAGAAAAAGAAAGATAGAAGAGGAGGAAGGGGAGGAGGAAAAGAAAGAGGAGGGGAAGGAGGGGGCCGGAGAAATGAGATGAGAAGAACTGCCAAAAGAAAGAACCCCAAATCTCTTCCATGGAACGGGGTAGCTGCAATGGGCTGTGAGTAATGAAGGGGAAAAGACGACAGCTGGTTTTTGAATCCTACAAAACGCACTCCCTCTTGGCTTTTGAAAGAAAGTGGTTTAATTCTTTGAGAAGCAGCTGCTGTGATAAAAATCCCCTAGGCCACGGTGGGCTTTTTTCTCCCATACCTTTCTTTACATAAGAAAAGAATGCCACTGTCTCTTTGAAGCCCCTGACTGGCATTTCTAGTCACAGCTAGAGAGAACTTGGAATTAAGATGCTAGAATGCACCTTCGTTTTTGTATTCGAACTTGACAAGAATTTTGGTATGACTTTCCCATTGATGAAATGGGATAATCTCCGTCTCCGAGTCTGTGGGCCTCGCCTTCTGTTTTTAATCACAAAGAAAGGAATTTATATAACAGAATTAGCATTACTTGCGTTTGAGCTGTGTGAACACCGGCATAAATGTAGCTCATTGTACACAATAACTGCCCATATGTCCACATCACATTCTACCCCTATTTCCTTCCAGATTCCTTGACCTCAAATAAAAACCAACAATCCTTGCCCGCAGTAGAATACTGGATGCCTCCCACCCCACAGCCCCATACTTCTGTTTTTAGAGTTTGTTTTATCAGGAAAACCTTATACATCTCTTCATATATGTAAGTTCTTGCCATCCTAGAAGAGCCACCTATAATACCCTTCAATTAATAGAAGGTAATAAGTGCTCCCTTTACTTCATCTAATTTTACTCTTCCTGTAACCTTACGTGATTGTTCTATACATTTAGATTTTCCCTTTTTCTTTAGATCCCTTTCCCAGCCAAGATGTAAAAGCAACAAGGTCTTTTTTCAGCCAACTGCCCTCTCTATGAAGTGGTGATGAAAATATTCTATGTTGGGAATTCTTTTTCTTTTTTTTTATTATACTTTAAGTTCTAGGGTACATGTGCACAATGTACAGATTTGTTACATATGTATACATGTGCCATGTTTGTGTGCTGCACCTATTAACTCGTCATTTACATTAGGTATATCTCCTAATGCTATCCTTCCCCCTTCCCCCCACCCCACAATAGGCCCCGGTGTGTGATGTTCCCCTTCCTGTGTCCATGTGTTCTCATTGTTCAATTCCCACCTATGAGTGAGAACATGCGGTGTTTGGTTTTTTGTCCTTGCAATAGTTCACTGAGAATGCTGGTTTCCAGCTTCATCCATGTCCCTACAAAGGACATGAACTCATCATTTTTTATGTCTGCATAGTATTCCATGGTGTATATGTGCCACATTTTCTTAATCCAGTCTATCATTGTTGGACATTTGGGTTGGTTCCATTACTGGGTATATACCCAAAGGATTATAAAACATGCTGCTATAAAGACACATGCACACGTATGTTTATTGCGGCACTATTCACAATAGCAAGACTAAGTTGGGAACTCTCAATCCAGGACTATACCAACCTTCAGGAAGGTTGTACCTTGAGCTTGTGGGGAAAACGTTGTATGCGCGTGATTTTCTGGAAAGATTCCTTAGCTTGCATGAGTTCCCCAATAGTTCATCTACAGTACGATTATGGACCGAGTTCCTGACAATTTCCTTTATAAATTCTGCACATGGTGATCTCGTTGGAATATCTCATCACATGTATCTTAGTGTGACAGTGGGAATTTGAATTTTAATGCCCCTTTGTAAATATTTAGCACTTAACAGCTTTCCAAACTCTTGCGTAGTAGGCAATATTTATCACTTCTCCATGTTTCACTCTAAAGACAAGGACTGTGCCTTTGCAGTTTGTGTGTCTGACAGATGGTACATGTCCTGAAAATGGTGGTCATATTTATCTTGTTGCATTTTGTGCTTACAATAGAGTGTAATTCCTGATATTCATCAGAAGGGAATCTGATGTATTGTAGGAGATAAATACAGTTGGTTAAAGAGAAGTTTATAAAACATATCTGGTTAAAGCAGTGATTTTTCCACCTCCCATGCATTCAAATTGCCTGGAGGAACTTTACAAATAAAGCAATGTCCAGGCATCATCCTTACAGATTTCTGATTGTTCCTGAGTGGAGCCAGGGTCAAAGGTGTTCAAACCAGAGCGACTCCATCCTGAATGAGGGCTGGAAAATGAGGCTGGCCCTTGCTGGGCAGCATTCCCAGAAAGTTAGGCATTCCTAGCCTCTAGATGTTTACAGTTAAGGGAACAAATTAATAATGTTTACTAAACAGACCCAGACTTGGGAGTGTCCAGATATCCCAATAGCTGGAGAAAAAAGACATTACTGAAGTTGCTTATCAGCTTGAGGAGATTTTGGGCTGAGACGATGGGCAGGATACAAAATCAATGTACAAAAATCACAAGCATTCTTATACACCAATAACAGACAAACAGAGAGCCAAATCATGAGTGAACTCCCATTCACAATTGCTTCAAAGAGAATAAAATACCTAGGAATCCAACTTACAAGGGATGTGAAGGACCTCTTCAAGGAGAACTATAAACCACTGCTCAATGAAATAAAAGAGGATACAAACAAATGGAAGAACATTCCATGCTCATGGGTAGGAAGAATCAATATCGTGAAAATGGCCATACTGCCCAAGGTCATTTACAGATTCAATGCCATCCCTATCAAGCTACCAATGACTTTCTTCATAGAATTGGAAATAACTACTTTAAAGTTCATATGGAACCAAAAAAGAGCCAGCATCGCCAAGTCAATCCTAAGCCAAAAGAACAAAGCTGGAGGCATCACGCTACCTGACTTCAAACTATACTACAAGGCTATGGTAACCAAAACAGCATGGTACTGGTACCAAAACAGAGATATAGACCAATGGAACAGAACAGAGCCCTCAGAAATAATGCCGCATATCTACAACTATCTGATCTTTGAGAACCTGATAAAAACAAGCAATGGGGAAAGGATTCCCTATTTAATAAATGGTGCTGGGAAAACTGGCTAGCCATATGTAGAAAGCTGAAACTGGATCCCTTCCTTACACTGTATACAAAAATTAATTCAAGATGGATTAAAGACTTACATGTTAGACCTAAAACCATAAAAACCCTAGAAGAAAACCTAGGCAATACCATTCAGGACATAGGCATGGGCAAGGACTTCATGTCTAAAACACCAAAAGCAATGGCAACAGAAGCCAAAATTGACAAATGGGATCTAATTAAACTCAAGAGCTTCTGCACAGTAAAAGAAACTACCATCAGAGTGAACAGGCAACCTACAGAATGGGAGAAAATTTTCGCAACCTACTCATCTGACAAAGGGCTAATATCCAGAATCTACAAAGAACTCAAACAAACTTACAAGAAAAAAACAAACAACCCCATCAAAAAGTGGGCGAAGGATATGAACAGACACTTCTCAAAACAAGACATTTATGTAGCCAAAAAACACATGAAAAAATGCTCATCATCACTGGCCATCAGAGAAATGCAAATCAAAACCACAATGAGATACCATCTCACACCAGTTAGAATGGCGATCATTAGAAAGTCAGGAAACAAGAGGTGCTGGAGAGGATGTGGAGAAATAGGAACACTTTTACACTGTTGGTGGGACGGTAAACTAGTTCAACCATTGTGGAAGTCAGTGTGGTGACTCCTTAGGGATCTAGAACTAGAAACACCATTTGACCCAGCCATCCCATTACTGGGTATATACCCAAAGGATTGTAAATCATGCTGCTATAAAGACACATGCACATGTATGTTTATTGCGGCACTATTCACAATAGCAAAGACTTGGAACCAACAGAAATGTCCAACAATGATAGACTGGATTAAGAAAATGTGGCACATATACAGCATGGAATACTATGCAGCCATAAAAAATGATGAGTTCATGTCCTTTGTAGGGACATGGATAAAGCTGGAAACCATCATTCTCAGCAAACTATCACAAGGACAGAAAAACAACCACCGCATGTTCTCACTCATAGGTGGGAACTGAACAATGAGAACACATGGACAGAGGAAGAGGAACATCACACACTGGGGACTGTTGTGGGGTGGGGGGATGGGGGAGGGATAGCATTAGGAGATATACCTAATGTAAATGATGAGTTAATAGGTGCAGCACACCAACATGTCACATGTATACATATGTAACAAACCTGCACGTTGTGCACATGTACCCTAAAACTTAAAGTATAATAATAATAAAATTAAAAAAAAGACATCCCTAATTTTGTTTTACCGATAATAATGTTGCCGGGCGTGGTGGCTCATGCCTGTAATCCCAGCACTTTGGGAGGCTGAGGTGGATGGATCACTTGAGGTCAGGAGTTCAAGACCAGCCTGGCCAACATGGTGAAGCCTCATCTCTTAAAACAAAAAAAACAAAAAAAAACAAAAAAAAAAAACAAATGAGCCGGGCATGGTGGCGTATGCCTGTAATCCCAGGGGAGGCTGAGGCAGGAGAATTGCTTGAACACAGGAGGCAGAGGTTGCAGTGAACTGAGATCATGATCGTGCCACTGCACTCCAACCTGGGTGACAGAGCGAGACCCTGTCTCAAAAAAATGAAGAAAGATAATAATATTGATTCTTGCAAAACATAGTAATTAAGAAAACTAATCCTTTGTCACAAACCCTTGTAGCAGAACACATTTCTCCATATATACAAGCATTGTTCCTAGGGTGGACGCCTTCCTCCTCTTACTTTCGGGAATGTCCTACTCTGTCTGTGGAGTAGCTGTCCTTTCGCCACTTTACTTTGTTAATAAACTTGCTTTTGCTTTGCACTGTGGACTCGCCCTGAATTCTTTCTTGCGTGAGATCCAAGAAACCTCTCTTGGGGTCTGGATCAGAACCCCTTTCCTGTAACATATTTCTGGTGACCACAGATGGGACTACAGTGCAGAAAGCCTGGTCCAAGGACTACCTTTGGGTAAATGTTGGGGTCCTGTAACCTACTTCTGGCAAACCCCAAATGGATGATACTGAAGAGGCCCCCGCCCCAAAGGAAAATCATCTGCATGCACCAACTGGCTAACTTTGGGTAAGTGGGGTGCATATACCTGGGTAAAGAATGGGATTGGGTTAGAGGCCCAACTTAGGGAAGTCAGTCTCTCCTAAGACAGAATGGGTTAGAGGAACCTCTTAATAAAAGGCAAGGATGCTTGACCAACCTTGGCTTAGAGGCCTGACTTTGGGTTAGGAGCTGACTTAGTTGCTTCTAAGATTTAGGGGGTTGGAGGCTCCTCTCAGTAAAGTCCCTCTTGGCTAAGAGCAGGTTTGGCACCGCAGGCTCTGCTCTTCATATTAACCTGCCTTTTTCTCTTGCTGCATGAATCAATTTCTTGGTTGCTGTCTCTGTTTCACTGTCATTTTCAGGAGACTTTATTTAACGGGTCTTAGGGATTTTAACTTACTCTTTTCCTACGTGCCTCCCGATTTCCGTCCGTCTGCTTGCAAAACATTGGGAGCAAAAAGCATTGATGGCTCCGTCTCTAAAATTGCTGATTGAGATTTGGTATTTAACAGCTATGAGCAGTAAGATTAGATAGATGTGGTTACGTTTTGTTGCCACTATGCCGACTAGGTGTGATTGAGAAGCACAAGGATGGAAATCAGGGGACTCTTCCCTTTGCTTTTTGTTTCATTTCGCACACTGAAAAAACTTCTTTCCTTTCTTGGATTTGGGCAAACTGGCTTTGCTCATCCACTATTGCCCAGAACCTGCTTGCTCTGGTCCTTCTCATCTAAATCCTCTTCATTTCCTTTGCCTTATTCGACATTTTTGTTAAAGTCCATGTTGTGGTTTATCTAAGATTCATGGCTCAGTTCACTTACGTTATTTGGATAATGTGAATAAGAGAATTCAATTTTTGGCAGGGATCCCCTCATTAATGCAGCTGGCCTTCAAAACCTGTCTTAACCTTGTTAGTGGAACTCGGCCAGTGGCAATACAATCTCGCAGGTTTGGAACTTTTCTTTCAGCATCACCTGCTTCCTTCATGGGAACCACAGCATCGATTCCAAAGAACTCACCGCTAGAATGTATTCTCGAACACTGGGACCAGTTTCAACGGAATGGGCTTAAGAAGACAAAACTGGTGTTTCTATGTAATACTGGTATTTGGCTTCAGTATTATTTGGAAAAGCAAGAGAAATGGCCTCCTGCTGGAACTATGGGCTTTAATACTATACTTCAAGTGAGTGTTTTGTAAGTGGGAGGGAAAATGGGATGAAATATCATATGTTCAAGCATTTTTGCTGCTCATTCAGGATAAAAACCTGCAGCAGGTGTGTGCATGTTTGATGAGAGGAAAAGAAAAAGAGCTAGACATGGTTCTGTTTATGTGATGGATTACATTTATTGATTTGAGTATGTTGAATCAGCCTTGCATCCTAGGAATGAAGCCAACTTGATTGTGGTGGATAAGCTTTTTGATGTGCTGCTGGCTTCAGTTTGCCAGTATTTTATTGAGGATTTTCGCATCGATGTTCATCAGGGATATTGGCCTGAAATTTTCTTTTTTTTATTGCGTCTCTGCCAGGTTTTGGTATCAGGATGATGCTGGTTTCATAAAATGAGTTAGGGAGGAGTCCCTCTTTTTCTGCTGTTTGGAATAGTTTTAGGAGGAATGGTACCAGCTCCTCTTTGTACCTCTGGTAAAATTCGGCTGTGAATCCATCTGGTCCTGGGCTTTTTTTGGTTGGTAGGCTATTAATTACTGCCTCAATTTCAGAACTTGTTATTGGTCTATTCAGGGATTCGACTTCTTCCTGGTTTAGTCTTTGTAGGGTGTGTTTGTCTAGGAATTTATCCATTTCTTCTAGATTTTCTAGTTTATTTTCCTGGAGGTGTTTGTAGTATTCTCTGATGGTAGTTTGTATATCTGTGGGATCAGTGGAGATATCCCCTTTATCATTTCTTATTTTGTCTATTTGATTCTTCTCTCTTTTCTTCTTTATTAGTCTGGCTAGCAGTCTCTATTTGTTAATCTTTTCAAAAAACCACCTCCTGGGTTCATTGATTTTTTTGAAGGGTTTTTCATGACTCTGTCGCCTTCAGTTCTGCTTTGATCTTACTTATTTCTTGTCTTCTGCTAGCTTTTGAATTTGTTTGCTCTTGTTTCTCTAGTTCTTTTAATTGTGACGTTAGGGTGTCGAGTTTAGGTCTGAACATATCTCACAATAATAAGAGCTATTTATGAAAAACCCATAGCCAGTATCATACTGAATGGGTACAAGCTGGAAGCATTCCTTTTGAAAACCGGCACAAGACAAGGATGTCCTCTCTCACCACTCCTATTCAACACAGTATTGGAAGTTCTGGCCAGGGTAATCAGGCAAGAGAAAGTAATAAAGCATATTCAAATAGGAAGAGAGGAAGCCAAATTGTCTCTTTGAAGGTGACATGATTGTATATTTAGAAAACCCCATTGTCTCAGCCCAAAAACTCCTTAAGCTGATAGGCAACTTCGGCAAAGTCTTAGGATATAAAATCAATATGCAAGTATCACAAGCATTCCCATACACTAATAATAGACATGGAGAGAACCAAGTCATGAATGAACCCCCATTCAAAATTGCTAGAAAGAGAATACAATACCTAGGAATACAACTTATGAGGGACGTGAAGGACCTCTTCAAGGAGAACTACAAACTACTGCACAAGGAAATAAGAGAGGACACAAACAAATGGAAAAACATTCCATGCTCGTGGATAGAAAGAATCGGTATCGTGAAAATGGCCATGCTGCCCAAAGTAATTTACAGATTCAATGCTATCCCCATCAAGCTACCATTGACTTTCTTCACAGAACTAGAAAAAAACTACTTTAAATTTCATATGGAACCAAAAAAGAGCCTCTATAGCCAAGACAGTCCTAAGCAAAAAGAACAAAGCTGGCAGCATCACGCTACCTGACTTCAAACAATATCACAAGGCTACAGTAACCAAAACAGCATGGTACTGGTACCAAAACAGATATAGAGACCAATGGAACAGAATAGAGACCTCTGAAATAACACCACACATCTACAACCATCTGATCTTCAACACACCTGACAAAAACAAGCAATGGAGAAAGGATTCCCTATTTAATAAATGGTGCTGGGAAAACTGGCTGGCCATATGCAGAAAACAGAAACCAGACTCCTTCCTTTATACCTTATACAAAAATTAACTCAAGGTGGATTAAAGACTTAAAAATAAAACCTAAAACCACAAAAACCCTAGAGGAAAACGTAGGCAATACCATTCAGGACACAGGCATAGGCAAAGACTTCATGACTAAAACACCAAAAGCAATGGCAACAAAAGACAAAATTGACAAATGAGATCTAATTAAACTAAAGAGCTTCTACACAACAAGAGAAACTATCATTAGAGTGAACAGGCAACCTACAGAATGGGAGAACATTTTTGCAATCTATCCATCTGACAAAGGTCTAATATCCAAAATCTACAAGAAATTTAAACAAATTTACAAGAAAAAAACAACCCCATCAAAACGTGGGCAAAGGATATGAAGAGACACTTCTCAAAAGAAGACATTTATGCAGCCAACAAACATGAAAAAAACCTCATCATCACTGATCATTAGAGAAATGCAAATCAAAACCACAATGAGATACCATCTCCTGCCAGTCAGAATGGCGATCATTAAAAAGTCAGGAAACAACAGGTGCTGGAGAGGATGTGGAGAAATAGGCACACTTTTACACTGTTGGTGGGAGTGTAAATTAGTTTAACCATAGTGGAAGACAGTGTGGCGATTCCCCAAGGATCTAGAACCAGAAATACCATTTGACCCAGCAATCCCATTACTGGGTATATACCCAAGGGATTATAAACCATTCTACTATAAAGACACATGCACACGTATGTTTATTGCAGCACTATTCACAATAGCAAACACTTGGAACCAACCCAAATGCTCATCAATGATAGACTGGATAAAGAAAATGTGGCACATATACACCATGGAATACTATGCAGCCATAAAAGCAAATGAGTTCATGTCCTTTGCAGGGACATGGATGAAGCTGGAAACCATCATCCTCAGCAAACCAACACAGGAACAGAAAACCAAACACCACGTGTTCCCACTCATAAGTGGGAGTTTAACAATGAGAACACATGGACACAGGGAGGGGAACATCACCCACCAGGGCCTGTCGGGGGTAGTGGGTAAGGGAAGGGAGAGCATGAGGACAAATACCTAATACATGCTGGGCTTAAAACCTAGATGATGGGTTGATGGGGGCAGCAAACCATAAGGCACATGCTTACTTATGTAACAAACCTGCATGTTCTGCACATGTATCCCAGAACTTAAAGTAAAATAAAATAAAATAAAGAAAAGAAAACTGGCCATTGGGAGAGGGATTGCCCAGCATCCCAGAGGGAGCCATTGGCACCTGAACCAATGATGGCCGAAATAGCCAGGCAATCCTGAGTGACGGGGCCCGAGACCTTCCACCACAGCTCCCATTGGACAACTAGCCATATCTCTGGAGGAGCCTCGGGTAACCCTTGATGTGGCAGGTAAGAATAGTAACTTCCTTCTGGAATGCTTAGTCGGTTTTCACCCATTGTAATGGGCCTCAGTCATCCCAAAACTGTACTGTCAAGGGGACAGATGGACAAGTCCATGGATGCCATTTTACTTATCCTTTAAGCTGCTCTTCAGGGACTTTGGTTTTCTCCTGAATGCCCCACTCCCTGTTGGGAAAGGATCTGTTAACTCAGCTGCAAACAGTAGTATCTTTTTGAAATTATAAGGCAGACAGAAATTGCTCCTTCTCCTTTCCTGTGAACAAATAACCAGGCTTTGTTGCTAGATGCTCCGGATATAACACTTGAAGTATGCCAGACTTTGAATCCAGCTACCTATTTGCCTGAACCCACAGGCACCCTAGGTCATTCTTGTATTCAAGTTATGGAGCAAGTTTACTCCAATCATCCATATTTAAAAGATGAGGCTCTAGATAATCCTGAGGTAGAATGGTTTATAGGCAGAAGTAGCTTTGTGCACCAAGGAAAAAGGACAACAAACTGTTAATACCAGGTGCTAATCAGTGGAAAATAGTTAAGCATTTGCATGACTCTACTCATTGGGGAAGAGAGTCCTTGTTTCAATTAATGTCTTACCTTTTTATAGGAAAAGGCTTATTTAAAACAGTAAAGCAGGTAACTTGGGCCTGTGAACTATGTGTCGGGAATAATCCAAATAACCAACCTTCACCTCCTGCTCTAGTAAGGCCTGTTCAGCACACGGGAACATACCCTGGCAAAGATCGGCAAGTAGGTTATACTCACATGCTCCCATGTAAAGAGTTTAAATATTTATTAGTATTCATTGACACATTTACCAGTTGGATCAAGGCTTTTCCTATCCGGTCTGAAAAGGCAATTGAGGTTTCTAAACTCTTGCTAAAGGAAATAATTCCTAGATCTGGGCTGCCTAAGGGCTTACGGAGCAATAATGGCCCATCTTTCCCAGCGACAATTACCCAAAACATATCTTCAGCCCTAGGAATTCAGTACCACCTTCACTTGGCATGGAGGTCAGTCTTCGGGGAAAGTAGAAAGAGCTAATCAAACTCTAAAAAGGACTGTTGCTAAACTATGCCAAGAAACATCAGAAATCTGGCTGTCTTTATTACCTGTAGCCTTATTACGGGTTCGAGTGGTCCCTAAGGGAAATCTGCACCTCAGCCCTTTTGAAATAATGAATGGAAGACCTTTCTTAACTACAGGCCTCCTAATAGACATAGATAATTTCAAGCTACAGATTTATGTGATCAACTTAGGACAAGTGCAAAACACACTCCTTGAATATGGAAATCAAAGACTTCTCTTCCCCAGCTAAGGAAGAGAACCTTGTTACAACCCAGCAGGGAAGTTGGATCCTATTAAATACTTGGAAGGAAAGATCCCCAGCAGATCAACTTTCTCCCAAAATGGAAGGAACCTATCAAGTTTTCCATAGTACCCCAACTGCAGTTAAACTTCTGGGAATAAATAGTTGGGTCCACTTATCTCGAATTCAGCCTGTCTCTTATGAAGTCCCACAGGCCAACGGAACACAAGAGACAGATCCCGTTTATTCCCGTGAGCCAATCAGTGACCTCCGACTCCTGTTCAGGAGAAATGAAGGGGATGGGTAACATAAATACATGGATTTGTATTCTACTTTTGGGTATAAGTTGGAATCAGGCAGAGAGTGACTTATTTACTGAGTGGGCCCAGACTTCAGCCTCTCTGCATAATCAGACAAACTGTTGGGTATGTGGAGAATTGCCACTTTCCTCCACTTCCAGTTGCCCTGGCATATTCAACCAACCAACCCAAGTTCATGGGGATTTTATTATGACTGGGAAACTGAACATCATAAACATAATCCCTCTTTTCCCATGTATCATAGCCACACGGGCCTTAGCCCCTTCCCCTCCTATAAAGAGACAAGAAGGCACCTTTTTAACCTAATTAGAAAACAGCTAAACTCCACCCCAACTTTAGGTTATGCTATACATGACGAATGAGGGCAAATGACAGCTGTTCCAGTGCAGGTATCAGGCAAAGCTCCTGCATGTTTTGAAAGCCTCAATAATAGTCACCACCAGACTGAAACCCACGATATAGGATGGCTGTCACCTCAACAATGTAATCAGACCCTTCTTCTAACAGACCAGATGTGGATGGGATGGCAAGATAATCTGCCAAAAATGGATGACTACCCTTCTCTTCGGGGATGGTTATGGGCTTGTGGAACACATGGCTGGCCTGGCCATACTTACCTTATAACTGGACTGGAAGATGTATGTGAGGTCGTGCTTATCTCCCAGGATGCATCCTCACCAAATTGGACTCTCTCCCATCTAACTGGGAAATGGTAAAAGCTCACCATAGGTGACAAAAACGGGCATCTCAGTGGTTCTATCCGATGGCTATATTTTCCCCACAGGCACCTACAATCAGTATCCAGTTACAAGTTAAAGCCTTAGCCAAGCACACTGCTGCAGCTTTCAATAATACACGCCCTGGCCGTACCTCCTAACTGAGGAAACTTCTCAGATTAGGCAGGTAGGCTTACAAAACCCTATGGCTTTGGACATTTTAACAGCGGCCCAAGAGGGAACTTGTGCTTTGATCGAAGCCGAATGTTGTGTGTACGTTCCAGACTATTCACATAAGATTACCCAGGCTATGAAAGCTTTAGACACTCACATCTCTGCCATTGCTGCACTATCAGTCAACCCTATCTCAGTTTGGTTCCAACAACTGCCCAGTTCTTGGAATGCCTTTCTGCTTAGTTTACTTGGAATGATTTTACTCATCGTGCTTTGCTGTTGTGGAATATATTGTGGTTGTGCTCTTTGTGTAAGAATGAAAGACAAGTTCACTCAACGCTTTCTTAAATTGGAAACTTGTTAATCTCCCAGATATCACCTTTTGTTGGAACTTGGAGTTAAGAACAACCCTCACCATACCAGTGCTCTCTGACTGAGCTTCTCTCTACCCTGAATGCAAGACACCCTCGCAGTTAGGCAGGAATATCATCACTCCTATTCAGCCTGAAGAAGTTACAGAAGATGGATCCTCATCCCTCTGCAACTCTTCAGATTAAGGATCCTGTTGTAAAGGGAAGAGGGAGATATGTCAGAGGCGTTCGAACCAGAGCGACTCCATCTTGAGTAAGGGCTGGAAAGTGAGGCTGGGACTTGCTGGGCTGCGTTCCCAGGAAGTTGGGCATTCCCAGCCTCAAGATGTTTATGGGTAAGGGAACAAATTAATAATGTGTACTAAACAGACCCAGAGTTGGAGTGTCCTGATATCCCGATATCTTGAGAACAAAGACATTCCTAATTTTCTTTAAAGATAATAATATCGATTCTTGCAAAATATAGTAATAAGAAAATTAATCCTTTATCACAAACCCTTGTAGCAGAACACACATCCCCAAATATACAAGCTTTGTACCTAGGGTGGACGCCTTCCTCCTTTTACTTTCAAGAACATCCTACTCTGTCTATGAAGTAGCTGTCCTTTCACCACTTTACTTTTTTTTTTTTCTAGCATCAGAGTGAACAGGCAACCTACTGAATGGGAGAAAGTTTTTGCAATCTATGTATCTGACAAAGGTCTAATATCCAGAATCTACAAGGAACTTAAACAAATTTACAAGAAAAAAACAAACATCTCCATCAAAAAATAGGCAAAGGATATGAACAGACCCTTCTCAAAAGAAGACATTTATGTGGTCAACAAACATATGAAAAAAAGCTCATCATCACTGATCATTAGAGAAATGCAAATCAAAACCACAATGAGATACCATCTCATGCCAGTCAGAATGGCGATTATTAAAAGGTTAGGAAACAATAGATGTTGGCGAGGCTGTGGAGAAATAGGAATGGTTTTACACTGTTGGTGGGAGTATAAATTAGTTCAGCCATCGTGGAAGACAGTGTGGCAATTCCTCAAGGACCTAGAACCAGAAATACCACTTGACCCAGCAATCCCATTACTGGGTATATACCCAAAGGATTACAAATCATTCTACCACTTTACTTTCTTAATAAACTTGCTTTTGATTTGCACTGTGCACTTGCCCTGAATTCTTTCTTGTGCAAGATCCAAGAACCCTCTCTTGGGGTCTGGATTGGGACCTCTTTCCTGTAACTCCAGGAATCAGTTTCTGTCCTTTCCCCCTCCCTCCCTCCCTCCCTGCCTCCCTCCCTCCCTTCCTTCCTTCTCTCTTCTTTTTATCCTGGAAGATTCCAACATGCAAACAGGATTGTGAACAACCATGTTAGAGGTTTATCAAAGCTTAATTATATGGATATCTGTGCTCTTGGAAGTATTCAGTAAACAATAGCATTAGAGGTGGAATGCACTAAGTCTACTTGGGGGAGATGATTGGTAAAATGTATGAAGCAAGGAAAATTTAAAAAACATGAATTTTAGATGTCTGTGAGAATGAATAAAGAGGTGACAAGAACAGAGTTTCAGGCAAGGGGACATAGGGTCTGAAGGAACCCAAACTGTTCAAACATCACTTCCGAACAGTTTGGATTCAGAAACAAGAGTCCCATCCTGCCAGCCCCCCTCTTCTCCTCCACATCGCTGAGTCAAATAGGTAGCTATCAGGGTGAACAGGGCTTGATTTGGGGGCTCCATGGAGAAGGCAGCATTGCAGTTGAGATTGGGCAGGTTTTGCTTGGAGGACAAAGTGCAATCATCAGGAGAAAGGCACGGGGCTATGTCAGACTTGTGAACCTGGAAGCATTCTGGGAATGGGACCTGCCTGTAGTTTAGTTTTGCCCACTGGTGTGGTTGCTATTTTGTGTTTAGCACGGGTAAACCAAACATCTTCCTTCCCTGACCTGCTTGCCATCATCCATTGTATGGAGGGCAATGAAAAAGGAAGCGGAGTAGTGAGCCCAGCCTCTACATACAGCTCAAACACCTCCTGACTGACTCCACAGGTGTGGATTTGGAGGCATCTCTCGGAGGTCTAATCTTCTCGCACGGAGCCAATGAACAGCTCCTTCCCAACACAGACAGCTCTTCTCATTCCCCAATAATGCTCACTAGTGCAGACTCCTTTGTGCATGGGACTCAAAATCTAAACCTTTCCACCAGAAAGGGATGCACTTAAATAGATGAAGTCAAAACTGTTGGCCATAAGCAACAGCCTGAAATGTCCTTTTAGAAGACAAGGGTCCAGCTCAGCCCAGGCACAGACAAGGACCCTGTCCTTCAGGGCTGAGGCACAGAGACCTGAAAACAAAAGCTAAAGTGAACCTTGCAGGCCCTCCTCAGCAGACCTCAAGGCCAATAAGGAATATCTTTTCCAAAAGAATAAGACAAATCTTATTTTAGGATTCTCCTGCATCTATTTCCAGAGTGATGCAAAAACTAAACTTTATTGGGTATATATATATATATATACATATTTTGAGTCAGAGTCTCGCTCCGTCACGCAGGCTGGAGTGCAGTGGCATGATCTTAGCTTACTGCAACCTCCACCTCCTGGGTTCAAGCAATGCTTCTGCCTCAGTCTCCCGAGTAGCTGGGACTACAGGTGCGAGCCACCACGCCCGGTTAATTTTTGTATTTTTAGTAGAGACGAGGTTTCACCATATTGGCCAGGCTGGTCTCAAACTCCTGACTTTGTGATCTGCCCACCTCAGCCTCCCAAAGTGCTGGGATTACAGGCGTGAGCCACTGCGCCCAGTCTTTATTGGGTATTTTTTTAATGTGCCAAACACTGCTTTAAAAGCTTTTTATGTCTTACCCCATGTAATCTTCACAGTATTCCAATGAATAAGGTGACATTATTACTCCCAGTTTCCAGGTAAAAAATCTATTCTCCATGAAGCTAAACATTTGTCCAGGGTTACCCAGCTAATAAACGGAGGAGTCAAGAGATCTGACAGCAGAATGTCCACTCTTGATTTCTGCCTAATATGCTCCCACCTCTTCTTCCAGTGCAAGAACATGCATGCTTATAAGAATGAAGACCACTGAAGCACCTTTCCATCCCCCACTATAAATGTAGGGAAGTATGTTATGCAGAGCTTACCTGAGACCCAGAAACTGATATGAATGCTTCAAATAAATTCTGCAGAAGCAAAGCTGGTACATTTTTGTCACAAGAGACTTTGCAGTTAGCTTTGCCTTTAAAATCTTCTACCAACTCTTTAAGTCCGATACTGTGTCTAAAAATCAAATAAAGCTGTGGAAACTACCATATTAGACAGGAAAGCTTACCATTCATTTGGAGAGATCAAAAATAGACATTGTGGACTTTGTACGACAATGTAGACACTGACCTCTGAGAGTAAGAACTATTTAGAGCTAAGTATTTGAGATGCAAGTCAATGCATCTTAAACCTACCTGTATGCTTTTTTTTTCCAGAATAGAAACTCAACATAGTAGGATAGGTCCTTAAAAAGCACACCAACAATCAAACCTCACTCTGCAACCGCCTACGTGGGCAACTGGGTGCCAGCGCCTGTGTGAGTGCTTGGGGTAAGGTGGAGGGGTGGGTGGGGGAAGCGGAGAGTGAAATTCTATTTCCAACTTAAGTTTTTCCAGATGGTACTCTAAAGCATAAATTGGTAAAATTTTGAAAACAAAAGTGAAGTTAGAGAGAAGGCGAATCTAGTATCTGAACGACCCTTTCCTTGGAGATGTTCTTCCAACAATTCAGAACACCTTCCAAAGGTTATCTGAATGAGAGAATATTTATTTTTAGGCAGCAAATTATGGTGGATAGTGTCAGCATTCCACTCAAATCTCTGCATTTCACTTTAAAAAGCCGTTCCCGTGTTCCTTCACACTGGCTTCAATGTGTGCTTTTGTTCTTAACAATCTGTACCTGCAACTTTCCTTGATGACTCTTTTTAGTTTCTGAAGTCTCCTTGCCCACAAGCGCAAAGAGCCTAAAGTGCCTGAGAGTTCCTGGCCCTTGGAGGGGCCCTCACGCAGAGTCCGATGCTGGAGGTGACAGCCCTGCTCCTGTGCCTCTAGCTGGGGTATCAAAGGCAGCAGGATCGCTTGCCCTCCAGAGCCACCCCCGACGGGATCAGGGTGAAGCTACCCTGCACGCGATTTCATCTGAAACTTCATTTGGGTTCTCCACCCATTCCCGTCGTACTTTCCCTGAGCATTTACTGGGTTCTCCTGGAAGCGCTTCCTTCATAAATCAGTTGCACACAAATCCCAATCTCACAGTCTGCTTCTAGAGAAACTGAAGGGATTTTTTTTTTTTTTTTTTTTTTTTTTTGAGACGGAGTCTCGCTCTGTCGCCCAGGCTGGAGTGCAGTGGCGGGATCTCGGCTCACTGCAAGCTCCGCCTCCCGGGTTCACGCCATTCTCCTGCCTCAGCCTCCCAAGTAGCTGGGACTACAGGCGCCCGCCACTACGCCCGGCTAATTTTTTTGTATTTTTAGTAGAGACGGGGTTTCACCGTTTTAGCCGGGATGGTCTCGATCTCTTGACCTCGTGATCCGCCCGCCTCGGCCTCCCAAAGTGCTGGGATTACAGGCGTGAGCCACCGCGCCCGGCCGGGATTTTTAAAGTAAGGCGGATGCCGAAGTCAATTAACAAATGCTACACGAAAGCTTCTGGCAATAAATAAGAAACGAGGCCGGGCTCGGTGACTCATGCCTGTAATCCTAACACTTTGGGAGGCCTAGGCGGGAGGGCTGCTTGACCCCAGGAGTTGGAGACTATTCCGGACAACATGGTGAAACCCTGTCTCTACAATAAATAAATAAATAAATAAATAAATAAATAAATAAATAAATAAAATAAAAATACAAAAATTAGCCAGGCATGGTGGTGTGTGCCTGTAGTCCTAGCTACTCATGAAGCTGAGGTGGGAGGATCGCTTGAGCCTGGGAGGTCAAGGCAGCAGTGAGCTGAGATTGTGCCACTGCACTCCAGCCTGGGTGAAAGAGTGAGACAAAGAAAGGAAGGAAAGAAAAGAAAGAAACAAAACAAAGGAAGGAAAGGAAAGGTAAGGAAAGGAGAGGAGAGGAGAGGGGAGGGGAGGGGAGGGGAGGGGAGGGCAAGGCCGGGCCTGATGGCTCACGTCTGTAATCCCAGCATTTCGGGAGGCCGAGGTGGGTGGATCACGAGGTCAGGAGATCAAGACCATCCTGGCTAACACAGTGAAACCCCGTCTCTACTAAAAAACACAAAAAGTTAGCTGGGCATGGTGGCAGGTGCCTGTAGTCCCAGCTACTTGGGAGGCTGAGGCAGGAGAATGGCATGGACCCAGGAGGTGGAGCTTGCAGTGAGCTGAGATTGTACCACTGCACTCCAGCCTGGGTGACAGAGTGAGACCGTGTCTCAAAAAAAAAAAAAGAAAAGAAAGAAGGGAGGGAGGGAGGAAGGAGAAAGAAAGAAAGAAGGAAGAAAGGAAGGAGGGAAGGAAAGAAAAAGAAAAGAAAGAAAGCGAGCAAGCAAGAGAGAAAGGAAGGAGGGAGGGAGGGAAGGAAGGAACGAAGGAAGGAAGGAAGGAGAAAGAAAGACGGAAGGAAAGAAAAAAAGAAAAAGCGAGCGAGCAAGCAGTAGAAAAAGGAAGGAGGAAGGGAGGGAAGGAACAAAGGAAGGAGAAAGAAAGAAGGAAGGAAAGAAAGGAAAGAAAGAAAAGAAAGAAAGGAAGAAAGGAAAGAATGCAAGGAAGGGAGAAAGAAAGGAGAGAAAGAAAAAGAAAGAAAGAAGTGAAGTGGCAAGGAGTTTGTCATTATTTCAGATCGAAAGAAAGAGAAAAGAGAGAAAGAAAGAGAGAGAGAGAGAAGTGAGTGATGTGGCAAGGAGGCCATTATTTCAGGTCCCAAGAGGTGCTAGCTCCACTTTGGAAGAATTTTCCAGACTGCGTCAATCTTCGTCGGCAATGGCACTTTGGAAATTTGCATCAGACATACCCATAGGCTACCAAAGGTCTCCCCAGTGGAAGATCTGCTGTCATCCTCTCCCATTCCCGCCTTGACATCTCATTATCAAGATGAAAGTCAAGATATTACTCAAACAAATTGTTTCCTCTTGGACATTATCACAGGATTAAAGTTTCCCATTACTGACATCCTTTTTCTGACCTTTTCATCAGCATTTTCAGTATAAAAACTTTTCATTATGAAGTCAAATATGCATGATCCTTTTAATGTACGTACTTTATAATGAGATTTTTGTCATCATAAATTTGTCTTCTTGTGTCCTCTATTTCTATCTTATAATACCCTGAGGTCTGGTAACCAGAGTCATTCTGGAAAAAAACAACTGGAAAGGTTGTAGCTTGAGCCAAGTCGTGCTGCACATCTTCCTTTTATTTCTGGGTTTCATTGCTCGGTTTTCCTTTATTTTCCTCGTTCATTCAATCGTTCAGTCATTCCAATGACATTTCTGGAACCCTTGTTGTTTGTTGGTTACTGTTCTTGGTGATGGAGATATAGGTTAAAGATGAGCTAAAGAAGATGAAGATCAGGTGGTGGCCTGGGACTGGCTCCTGGGCGCTGATTCTGCACTCTCTCTACAGCTCCACGTGCAGCGACATTACTTTGGTAGTTTGAAATTGGCCACGGTGGAGTATTTATACTATGAAAATTGGCAGACACCACAAATCAGGGCTTCTTTATTCCAGCTCCCAGAGGACACTGCTGAAGACTGTCACTTTTCTAGAGCATACAGTCTGTAGGGGAGGTGGGAGGTGGACATTAAATAAACAATCACATCAACCAACATAAATTGGCAACTGTAAGAAAAGAAGAGCAGAGGTATTTGGTGAAATAACAGTCTATCTCAGAGGACCTGAGTGTAGCCAAGGAGGCCAAGGACAGTTTCTCAGAGGAGACCATGCTTGGGATGTGAACCCCAATGAAGAATGGGTAGAGGCAAAGGGAATTCCAGGGAGAAGGAACTGCAGGCACAAATGCTCTGCTGCTGGAGAGAGGAAAATGGACCAGAAAAACAAAGACAAAAAAACCCAGGTGGCTGAACTACCCAGAGGGCTTGGGATTGAGGAAGGAGATGCTGTTGAGCTGTGGGTAGAAGAAATTTCAAGCTTTTTTTTTTTTTAAATGTCCATTTTAACTTTATTCACAGTATCATAGTAGCCAAAGGTGAAAACAACCTCTCTATTGACAGATGAATGGATAAACAAAATGTAGTATATCCACATGATGGCATATTATTCAGTTACAAGAAGGAAAGAAGTTCCGAGTCATAGTACTGCATAAGTGAACTTTGTACACATCATGGGAAGTGAAATAAGCCAGACACATAGTACAATATTGTATGATTCCACTAATATGAAACATCAACAATAGGCCAATCCATAGAGACAGAAAGTATATTTAGAGGGGCTGGGCCGGGGGACAATAGAGTTATTGCTGATGGTTACAGAGTTTCTGTTTGGGGTAATGAAAATGTTTCGGTGGTGATGGTGGTACAACATTATGAATGTAATTAATTCCACTGAATTGCACACTTAAAAATGGCTAAAATGGCAAATTTTAAGGACATTTCAAGTCTTTTCAAGTCACATTGAGCGTTGTGTCTTTCACAGTCAGCAAACTCTGGCCAGTCAAATCCAAGCCATAGCTTGTTTATGCGCAGTTCCTGAACTAAAAATGGATTTTATATTTTTGAACTTAAAAAGAAAAGAATATGCAGCATAAAAAGTATATGGCTCACAGAGCCTGAAATATTGCTATCTCACCCCTTCCAGGAAAAGCTGGCCAATGCCTGGCCTTAACTGTATAAGAAATGGAAAATTATTAAAACTTTAAAAATAACCAAATAACATTTACTTCAATATGAAATGCTTCACTAGGAGACATTATGAGGTAGTCAAATACTTACTCCCACTGAGAATGAATAAGTTTAATTTTAAGAGTTGACTTGAGAGTATTCTGAATAAGAAGAAATGGAAAATAAATGAAAGGGCAGAAGTCACACAGGCACTGGAATAAAAATTGCCATAAGGATAAGAATTCAGAGACCAGGCTTATTTGTATAGATAATAATAAGCACAAAATAATCTTAATTTAAACAGGAAAAAATAGGCCAAGCTAAATTATAACTTGTTGCAGTGGGAAAAAAATGAGAAAAAAAAAAAACCCCATTTTTTTCAGATGAGCTATGGGTCCTACAAAACTGTCCATAGGAAACTGGAATGTCACACAGAGTAAGGGACAATTCTTCATGATATGAAACCACTGCACATGCTGCAGGACACCTGTCAACCCAGGCCCTGCCTATCTATAATGGCCAACAGGAAACCCCGGTGATGATGACAGCCAGAGACACACCCCACAACCTCCAAAGAGATGATCACAGCCAGAGACATACCCCACAACCTCCAAAGAGAAGCTGAACTTGCTTCATGTCTAAGATCCGTAGGTGAGTTTAACTGTACTTAGGGGGGCCCTTCTCCAGCCTGGGTGGGCTTCTGGTCAGAAGTGGTCATTTTATGTTCTTTCTTCCAGCAGAAAATGCTACTTTTCTGCACTGAGATCTTTCATGTAAAGACCCGAAGGTGGGTTCAATGAGGATGGAAAGCACCAGGTGGGGAGTCTCCTTGAGGAATGGATGGGTTCTTAAAAGAGACGAGGGGAGCAGGCAGGGATTCTTTGCTCTTTTCACAATGGGATAGTGGGACAGGCTCCACATGAAACTTGTAGCCACACCCACCTTCCATCTGATCACCCAGCTGGGGGCTCTGGCCAGGGATCTGATCACCCACCTGGGGACTCTGGCCGGGGATGCTGAGTGGGTTTGCAGCGGGAATGCTCTCTAGATCAGTCCATGGAAGGGTGAAGATCAGGAAAGGCTGCTGTCAGGAAGTCCGTCCAAACAGGGATGAGGTCAACATGGCTGCCATCCTCTTAGCTAAGCCATTCCTGACCCTTTTCCTGGACGTCTCCCACTGTGCAATGGCGGCTTTTTCCTGCCTTGCCCTGATGACGAAGGTGGCTTGTTGAGCCTGTGTCGCGACACATAACTCCTCCTTGTGTAGGCTCACTGCTGGGCTCTGAAAAGGTGTGGCCAAGCAAGCAGTCAATCTGTGAATGGGAGCGCTCTTATCTAGAAACACAAACGCAGCTTCCTGTGTTCACGGCATCCTGGGGTGCACCGGGACACTTCCACCTGCAAAGCAGTCCCCTTGAGTCCTCCATATTCAAAGGGATGTCCACTGAGCAATTAATGGCTTGAAAACAGTGTTTGGAGTGTTGGGAATGTATCAGAGGCAAACCAGAGAGGATGTATGTAGAGCAGCTAAGAAATTCAAATGAAATAAGACTGCAGGAGAGACACAGGTGAGCTTGCATGGACAGCAGGGGAACTGGCAGGACTGATTAATGCTCATGGTGTATAGATATGAGATTCTGTTTAGATCTTTCTAAGCTCATGTTGATAGAATCACCCTCTTCCTGCCCAATGTCTCTCTCCACTGGCTACTGCTTACTGCAGATTTGCAAGGGAGCAGACACCACAGAGATATTCACTGTGCCCAGCCCCATCATCACAAAACTTTTAAAGCATAGAGAGCAGCTTTCCCTGCAGAAATAAAGGGCAAATGGAGAAACTGCAGGCAGGGAAGACATATGAGTAAATACAGGGTTTTCTTGTATCTTAGTATGAGTTATGGAATGTGCCACTGACATAAAGTCAGGCCCCATTTAATGATCTCTTCCCACTTAGTATTTGTAACCCAAATGTCCATGGCAAATGCTATTGTTGACTGCTGCCTCTATACACAAGACAATAACATGCAAATATCACACAACTCTATTGCAAAGGGATATTTAGAATCTTTTAAAAGATGTCATATTTAATAAAAACAGTGAGTAAAATCTTGGAGAAAACCATTTGTACTACTTGATCCCCACATAAAATGATTGACAAACAAGAATAGGGTAGAATTAAATATGTTAGGGTTCAAAAAAGAGGCAAATCAACAAGGATGATGACAAATTTGGCACTTCAAAACACGCGATGTGCCTGACAAAAGCTCAAGATAAGCCTTTTAGAAAACTTGATGAAGACATAGATTACTTTTTCAAAATCAATCAAAATTGAAGGAGCATTCACGATCTTGTTTACTTATTTATTTATTTTTCTGAGAGGTTGCTTCTCCAACGCAATCCATACTGGTTTCACTTAGTCTTTACCTAGGAATAAACCCATGGTTCTAATTATAACTCTTGTTTACGATAAAATACCTTATCTTTTCAGTTTCAAGTGTCATTTCTAAAGATAAGTCATTTCTAAAGATCGGTTCCCAATCAAATCTTGTTGATTCCTGTTTTTATTACACTCTTTCAACTTGTCTTGCATAGAGTGACTTTAAATGGTCTTTCATGGATACCTATTAATCCTGGTTAAAGAGAGTTTCCAACACTCAGAAGTACAAGGCAATTGGGGCTGTGGTGGGAGGAAGAACTAGGAGCCTCAAAAGTGAGGCAATATTCTATTTAAAAGTGAAATGTCCTTGAAGTCCTCTTGGAGCAGCCCCCACCCACCCGCCCACCCCCGTCTGAAAGTGTTTTCCACACGTGAGCTGGAATCTCTGCTACAGACAAATATAGAAACAAAATAAAGCTAACTCTTTCATCTCCACATCATGACATTTAAAAAAAAAACATATTCGCCTGGAAATGAAGATATATTTTATTTTTATATATTTCTTTTTTGTTGGGAGTCTTTTTCTTATTTTAAAAAAACAATTTGTATGCCACAGACACATTAGCATTCTTGCTAGGGCTGCAGACTGTTCGAGATCACATCTTGCCTGCATAAACAGGTATCTGGGATGCCTTAAACTCTTTCTGCTCAGCATCTGTGATGAAGCCCTAGATGAGACTTGGGCAGAAAACACAAAATCAGAATACGGTAGAATTGGCAAGGAATGTAAGCAAACCAATTATACACAATTAGTTTCTGAATATCTAAATCTCTCCACTTCAGGGATTAGAAAAGGGGTCTATCTTTGAAGTACCAGCTCTGCCTGCAGACTCCTTCAACCTTCTAACTTTAATTGACAATTGCACATGGTACAGCATTTCCCAGTTGACTTAGTTCTCAAGAATTTTTAATTAGAAGTTTTTCATCTGCTACATCTGGCAACTCAGTGCTTCTTCATACACTCCTTCCTCCATCTTTGTTTATTGTGTTAGTATTTTTAGAGAAAACACATTCGGAACAATTTCTCTACACTCCATCTAAGCAGAATACGTCACCAGGTCAAAAGAAGGCAGCTTTGCTTGACAAGCGTCTTTGGTGTCTAGCCTTAGGGAAAGCGACATCACAGCTCACATGTGACAGTAACTGGACTGTCTCCAGCAAGCAAGTGAGCTTGTGTCCCCAAACGTCTGCACCTGACAGCTAAATTGCATGTGGCCTCTGAAGCATGTAAAATCTAACACCGTCAGCTCAATACTGAAATAAGTGACGAGCAAAGACCATTTTCCTTATGTAGCCACGATCTCTTTAAGCATGCAGTTGAATTGCTAGAGTAAAAGAAATGCTTTACATTCATTTGAAAATGCAAACAGGATTATTAATTGATAGTGATGATCACTGCTAAATCTACTAATGGTTTTCTCAACTCCCATCTGATATGACAAATGAAAGTGCTGAGAGGCTCAGATGTTTGATTCTTTTGTGGTAAAAAAAATAATTCCAATATGTATCTAGTTGATTCCTCATATGAAAGAGATGATTCTGTTTCTTTAGGCTTAGCTGTTAAATTCCCAAGTGAAAAAGCTATGCCACGTCTATGATCAATACATAATTGTGTTTCGGCCTTCAAGTGCTCAAGGTCTGAGGTTGAAGAATTAATTTGCTGGTTGAGGTTAATAGAATGTCAATTAATTTCTTGGTATAAATGTCAATACATTCAGTTAAGCCTTGTGATTTAAATATAATTAAAGATAAACTTTAAGTCAATGTTGGCTTTTTCGTTTTGGGTATGGTGAGGGATTTACTAAAATCTCAGAAAGCCACAGGGAAAAAGGATTTGATCAAGAAGTTTGCTTTTCTCATACAACCAGTTAGGCATGTTTGTTATCAGTTTCATGTGAAGGAAACAGAATGAACTGCATCTTCTTTTATCTCAGGCTTCAAACATCCATCTATTAACCTTAACAGTTCATGTCACTCACGAAGAGTTTTTAGTGTGGAAAGTCATTTGTTCATCATGAACACTCTCCAGATAAGATAGCAGAATAAGCAGTGAAATGTAGTGGTTGAGTAAATGGACTTTAGAGTGAATTACACTTGGAATAGAATCCCGATATGGTATTAGTTGTGTTATACAATACTTAACTCCTTGAGCCTCAGGTTTTTAAACAATAAAATGGTCAATAATTGTAACTCTCTTTGAGTGATGGTCAGTCCTCTGGGTATAGTGTGCAGATGGTACACTGAACAACTCTAGGTGGTATCATTCACGTAGTTCATGTGGTACATCTTTAAATTGTTCAGTGTACAACCTGTACAACTGTATGAGGCAGTCCTAGCACTCGCAGTGTTGATGAACTGAGATCATTTATGCAAAGTATTTAGGACTATGCCTATGCAAAGCTTGTAGAGGGATTTGGGGAGACGTATAGCGTAATTTTGTAGTTGCAATCGGGAATCAAGCCTGAAATAAGTTTTGTTAGTGTTTATGGGGGCTAAGGTGATGTTAACTGCTATTCCCAGGAAAGTTAGTGCTTTTACCTCACTTTGTCTGGCATTGGATTCTGACATCTCCCCTCACCATGGGCCCTTATACAAAAATGGAAGGAGTAGACCTCTTACTCCTTGAAGAAGGTGCATTCATTCCAGGCATCATTATTGCAGGTGTTGTTCAAGCTGCTGGAATGACCACAATCGGAAAGGTCTCTGCACTCATGGAGACCACATTCCAGTGGATGTGAGAACTCTGATGGAAATACACTGAAGGGAAAAACAGTCTCACCTAGACTGGAGAGGGTAGCTTATGTTTATACAAACACTTTCACTTTCATTTGTCATGTCAGATGGGAGTTGAGAAAACCATTGTTAGATTTAGCAATGATCATCACTATCAATTAATAATTCTGTTTGCATTTTCAAATGAATGTACAGCATTTCCTTCTACTCAGGCAATTCAACTGCGTGCTTAAAGAGATCATGGCTAAAGAAAAATCACCTTTTCTTGTCATTTATTTCAGTATTGAGCTGATGGTGTTAGATTTTATGTGCTTCGGAGTCCACATGCAATTTAGTTGTCAGGTGTAGATGTTTGGGGACGCAAGCTCACTTGCTTGCTAGAGGCAGTCCAGCTGCCATCACAGGTCAGCTAAGGTATCTTATCTGACCTGTGAACACTAAAAACTCTCTGTGAGTGACATGAACTGTTAAGGTTAATAGATGGATGTTTGAAGCCTGAGATAAAAGAAGATGCAGTTCATTCTGTTTTCATTCTCTTAGGTGCCTAATCTTTCCCTAAGATTAGGCACCAAAAACCCTTATCAAGAGAGAATTTGTCTTAAGAGACTTGACTAGTCCTATCCAAAGCTAAGGCCTTAAGAACAAATTGGAGAATAATAAATGCCCGTCTTAGGAGGGTTTCTTGAAAGCAGTCAACGGGGTAGCATTTTGGATGCAAGGTGTTTGTTAGGGATAATCACATGTCAAAGGAAGAAAGAGGAACCAGGATGGAGCAGGGGGAGAAGAGACCCCTTCTGCACTGAGATGCAAGCCCAACCAAGCCCCTGTCACCCCGCAGGGAGCCTTGGAGCAAGAACTGCGTGTAAGAGGATCCCAGAGGGCGAGGAGGCAGGCAGGTCTTTCTACCTTACCTCAATGTGTCAATCACTGGGTGTGTGCTTCTCTGGAAAGGGAATGACCTTGGATGAGGCAGCTCCTGGCACTAGAGGTAGAACTGATGTCTGAGAGGAGCTGAATGGAGGCTGTCTGCTGAGCACACGTGCCGCAGGGGGGCAGCCCAGCCTTCCTGGACAGGGAATCCAGGCAGCGCATCTCCTTCCCCCTGCAATGTCCACCCAGCACTGTCCACCCGCCCCGCACACCCACACCTACCGAGAGAGCAGTCCCTCAGAGGGAACTTCCCTAAACTTTAGTCACTCAGGGCTTGATGTACTCATTCTATATTTTAATAATTCATATAAAAATAATTCTTAAAAACTTCTTAAAATTACTAAATAAATAAAATAATTAAAATTCTTAAAATAAAAAAAACACTCACCCGGATATTATCATATCATCTTGTATATTTTGTTTTAGTAAACACAGTCTTAGGGAAAAGCCCTGTGTTATTGTTTGGTCTGTGTCCCCGCCCAAATCTCCTGTTGAATTGTAATCTTCAATGTTGGAGGTGGGTCTGGTGAGAGGTGATTGGATCATAGGGGTGGATTTCTCATGAATTCTTTAGAACCATCCCCTTGGCACTGTCCTTGCAAATATGAGTGAGTTCTCACAAGATCTGGTTGTTTAAAAGCGTGTGGCACCTCCCTGCTCCCTCTCTCTTGCTCCTGCTCTGGCCATGTGACACGCCTGCTTCCCCTTCACCTTCTGCCATGATTGAAAGCTTCCCGAGACCTCCCCAGAAGCTGAGCAGACTCCAGCGTTGTGCTTCCTGCACAGCCTGCAGAACCACGAGCAAATTAAACCTCTTTTCTGTATAAATTGCCCAGTTTCAGGTCTTTCTTTATAGGAATGCAAGAATGGACTAATACGCCGTGTGAGCTCTAGGACCAGGCATCGCTGGGATGCTCCTGTCCTAAGACGTGATTTGACAGGCATTAACTGAGGTCTTCTGGTGTGAAAGGAGCCACAAGTATGCAAAGACAGGGCCAGCATGGCTTTGAATGAGAGGCAGGGCAGGGTTCAACAGGAGGGGGCCGAGAATCCTTCAGCAGAGAACAAATGAACCTCTTTCTCGGGGAACCACACACACAGAGAGATGGGCTGTCAACAGATGGGATGAATCTCTAGGAAGATGCTGTGGTTTTGGGGATTTAGGGTGGAATTCGCACTATGCCCAGTGGGAACGCTTGCCTGCTCACAAAAGAGCTGCAGTCCCGGAGGAAGCACGCAGCGAGAAGACAAGGATCTTCAGCCTCTGAGACAACGAATGGACTGTGCCACACCATGCTGACAGGCACTGAAAACCAACTGCATGGAGGACACCGGCTGAGCACAGGGTGGCCCATTTGACGGATGCGACTAGCAAGACCTGCACAAGACGACCCTCAGCCAAGGACAAAACATGGTGCTGAAGCCTCAGTACAATTGACGCCTTCATTTGCTGGTGTATAGAATAAAGTGCTTATTGTTTGTGGGATTTATTTACTTATTTATTTGCACATTATCTGTCTGTCTGTCTATCCATCTATCTGTGTACTTACCACTTTCAGGTGGCTAGTGGCGGGCAGGAAGGTATGAGTGAGAGAGGTGGCAAGAGAATAAACACTACACACATTTGCTTTCTTGAGTGTCCATGGATCCTTTCCTTTAGGGAACTTCCCCTCCCTGATGCATGTGCCTCAAATGCAGCAGCCAATTGCATTACAGGTGTGGGCATGGACCCAGGTTGTCCCAAAGACCCTGCCCCGCCAGTCTTCAGAGTCCCATGGGGAATACGACACTGGTGTGTGTGCCGGGGGAGCAAGGGTCTTCTTCAGGTGTGACGGGCTGCAAGGTCAAATGGATGGAGTTGCTTGTGGCCATCTCCGCGGCCAAGAGGATGAGTGGTAGCCAGAGGCAGAGAGAAAGGCCTGGGGACATAATTTGAATACTTGGATCCAGCCAGCACTGATGCCAGTCCCAGCCCTGGATGTTTTTCGTTAGATAGATAGGTTAAGGAAGCTCTTTCTTTTTCCATTTCTTTTCTTTTTTTTTTTTTTTTTCGTTTTTTTGAGACAGAGTCTTGCTCTGTCACCCAGGCTGGAGTGCAGCAGTGCAATCTTGGCTCACTGCAATCACCACCTTCCCGGTGCAAGTAATTCTCCTGCCTCAGCCTTCTGAGTAGCTGGAATCACACGCACCTGCCACCACGCCTGGCTAATATTTGTATTTTTAGTAGAGATGGGGTTTAGTAGAGAGCCTGGTTGGCCAGGCTGGTCTTGAACTCCTGACCTCAAGTGATTCACCCACCTCAGCCTCTCAAAGTGTTAGGATTACAGGAATGAGCCACAGAGCCTGGTCTCTTTTTCCATTTCTTTAAAATTTGGGTTGCTGTTGTTTATAATTAAAATACCGAGTGACACTCCTGTTATCTGTCTGGTGGCTCAAAGCTAAAGAAATGTAATGTCTGTCATATGCAGTTAAAACTCCAACTGAAGATCTACATATGCAAAATGTGTGTGTGTGTGTGTGTACACATACACAAATACATATGTATATATGCACACATCATGTATAAATACACCTTACACATATGTCTGTATATCTGTGTGAAATATTCCTTAACCCCTTCCACATTCTCCATCCTTGTTTGAGCTTATAAACTGTGTCCTATAACCACGTCTTTTGCATTACCATTCTGTTCATTTGTTTAATTTAAATACCTATTTGCATATTGGCTTCTTTTAGCAGCGAGTGAATGCTTTGAGGATAGGGAGTCTCTCTCCCTCTCTCCCTCCCTGCCTTCCCTTCTTCATTCCTCTCCTTCCTTTCTTCTGAACTGTTACTTATTATTATTATTTTTTTTACACTCCACCATACAGACCCCATAAGTTCTGGGTCCTCCATTGACGAGCATTCAGTGACTACCTGATTCGATGACTGTGGGCAGTGTTGCAAACTATTGACTCAAAATCGGCTCCCTCTTTCCTCCTTACCAACAGAGACCAATTCATTCAAGTTGTCAACCTTTCCACCAAAAAAAAAAAACCCAAAAGGCTCTGACATGAGGTCATGTGTATATTTCTGGCCAATCGGCTGTAAGCAGAAATCTACTTCACGTAATTTTCAGAAAACAAGTTCTTTGCCTGATAAAGAGGTGCAGTTTTAGAGGACATGTATGCCTCTTATCCTCCCTGTTTCCTCGTTCCCACCTGGAATACTGATGTGATGCAGGAGGCTCAGCTGCCATCCTGTGACAGCGAGGCGGCACAGCAGAAAGATAGAAGGTTGAGACCCTGTGGTATCAATCAGCTGTGATACCAGCCAAGGAGTAGCTACCTTCATCTTCTTGTCTGAGATAAACAAATCCCAAAGTTTAAAGGCTATTCGACTTGGACCTTTGTTCTATGCAGCTGACTGACATCCAAACAGCATAGAGGGCACATGCCTCTCTCTGTATCTGGGCATATCTGTGGTGTCTGTGTGCAGACCTGCCAAAATACAGGAAACAAAGCTGGGAAAATAACGTGTGTCTTCCACGACAGAAGGTGACAAAGAGCTCACTGCCCACCTCCCTAATCGATGATCCACCTCTTTAAAATTTCACTTGATTAAATTTATCTGTTCCTCATGCTGCTTTTTTTTTTTAAATTAATTCAGATATCAGTCCTGCTGTATTCACAGTCGGACACCTCAGTCTTGTCAAGTGGATTAGGTAGGAATCATGGCACTCATCCTATGAAACACTACATTCATCTTTGCTGGAATGTTTGGGGATATGATGATAGGAATTGACCATCAGGTCTAAAATGCTCACAGGAAGCTGGGTCTCATCAGCGGAAGCTGGCTGCCTCTCTGTCTTTTATTCTTGAAACATCCCACCTAGCCATTGAGAGGCTGTTTGGGGCAGATTTAAATAGTGGGGCTCTGTCTGCCAGAGGGCTAATTTGCAAAGATTGCTGCATGATGAAAGTGACATGAGACATGACAATTGGATCTTTCAGCAGCAAAGAGAACAACTGAAGTACAAACTGTCATCTGAAGCTACAAATAGGAAAAGGGAGGGAAGAGGCTTCTCTTAAAAAAGAGATTAAAGCCAGGTGAGATCAAGCAATTTTCGCATGCTTGTAAGCTCTCTGTGCCTTGTCACACATATAAGGATATGGTACCGGGGAAGGGATCTCAAATTCAAATGCTGCGGAAGCCAGGTGGGTCACACAGTGGGAGCACAGCCAGCGTGGGACAGTGGCAGGGGTGGGGGCTGTGGCCAACTGTGGCCCTGATTCATGGGGCTCCCCTACCCAGATCCACCTGTCATTCTTGGATAGAATATAGGGTCAGTGTCTTCTGGTGTTTTTTCTCCAGGAGAAAGTCACAAATCTAGTTCTCAAACATTGAAAGCCTTGATTTTTAAACACTGTTCACAAATTCAAATTTTCTTAAAAACACCATGCAGGCCAAACAAACAAGCCTTCACACAGGAATTGACACAAAGTCCTCTGGTGTGCAATGTCTTCAGAGAGACATTGAGAAACATTTCATCCTCTGTTGCCCTGGAGCCATGACAGTTAATGATTTTTAAAGAATTGTCCTTATTTTCACAAATCCATGGTTCCCAAATGAGGCCCGCCTGTTTGGTCTTTCGTGTGAATGAATGAATTGCTCCTTCACTCTATAGTGGCAGCTCTGCCAGCTGTGAGGCTTGGTGGGAGGCGGGAGGCTGGGATTCAGAGCCCCTTGCACACAGAACAACTTGTATAGTCAGGTTCATTTATGAATGGCCTCCATTAGGTTCCAGCCTTAGTGTTGAAGGTATAATCTTTCCCCTCCAGATTTTATATGAGTTCACTCTTCTTCATAAAGACTTCTATTCACAATAGCGAAAATATGGAATCAACCTAAGTGTTCATTAATGGATAAATGGATAAACAGATGTGGTTTATAGACACAGTGGAATATTAGCCATAAAAAAAGAATAAAATTCTGTCATTTTCAGCAACATAAATGGAACTGGAAGTCATTATGTTAAGTAAACTAAGCCAGGCAGAGAAAGACAAATATTGTGTGTTCTCACTCATGTGGGAGCAGACATAGTGTCTCTCATAAAGGTAGAAAGTAGAATAATAGTCACATGGGGCTGGAAAGGGAAGATGGGAGGGGAAATAAAGAGAAGTTGGTTAATGAACACAAAAATACAGTTAGATAGAAGAACTATGTTTTAGTATTTGATAGTACAATAGAAAAATTATAGTTAACAATAATTAATTATATGTTACAAAAAAATAGCCATAGGAGAAGAATTGTAACATTCTCAACACAAAAAACAGATAAATATTTGATGTGATAGACCCAATTACCTTGATTCGATCATTATATTGTTGTAGGTACCACCAAAATATGTACAACTATGACAAATCAATAAAAAAGTACAAAAGACTTGCTAAAACAAAGTCACACTGACTAAGTTTTCAAAAATATTACTTTTTAAATTATTGTTGTTACTGTGGTGATGATGGTGGCAGTGATGATGATGATGAAGGTGGTGTTGGTGACGATGATGATGATGATGGAGATAATGATGATGGTGGTGGTGATAACGATGGTGATGATTATAATGATGGTGACAATAATGATGTGATGATGGTGATGATGAATGATGATGGTGGTGATTATGATGATGATGATGGTGATAATGGAGATGATGATGATGTGATATTGATGATGGTGGTAATGACGATGATGATGTGATAATGGTGATAAAGATGACAGTGGCAATGATAATGGTGGTGATTATGATGATGATTATGATGATGATGATGATGATGGCGATGATGGTGACAATGATGTGATGATAGTAACAATGATCATGGCAGATTGTGGTGATGATGATGGTGGTGATGGTGATGGTGGTGGTGATGGTGATGGTTATGATGGTGTGGATGATGATGATGGTGACAATGATGATGTGATGATAGTGATGGTGATGATGATGGGGTGTTTAGAACTGGAAAACATGGAAGTCTATACATAGCTTTACGTATCTGCTGAACCTAGTTCAGTGTGTGGTGATATCAAGAGACTTTCCAAGTCTTGTCTGTCCCCATGTTTCTTGCTGTGTCACATCCATGAGTTGTGAGGCATGTTCTGGGGAATAAGATATATGCTACAGCCCAGATCCTGAGATGCCAGCATTCTTGTTGTTGTGATAGTTAGCATGTGGACCAGTGTGATGGTCATTTTATATGTCAACTTAAGTTAGCTAAGGGATGTCCAGGTAGCTGATAAATGTTGTTTCTGGGTATGTCTGTGAAGATATTTCTGGAAGAGATTAGCATTTGAGTTAGCAGACTGAGTAAAGAAGATGGACCCTTACCAGGGTGGGTGGGCAACCTCCAATCCAAAGCTGGAAATGCCAAGGAAACAGATTCTTCCTCAGAGCCTCTACAAGGAAGTAGCTCTGCCAACAGCTTTCCTTTACCCCAATGAGACTGACTTCAGATTTCTGACTCTAGAACTGCAGGAGAGCAAATTTGTATTGTTTTAGGCCAGGGGTCCCCAGTCTGTGCACCATGGGCCAGAACCAGTCCATGGCCTGTTAGGAACTGGGCCACAAGGTAAGAGGTGAGTGGTGGGCTAGCAAGTGAAGCTTCATCTGTATTTACAGCTGCTCCTCATCGTTGATGTTACCACCTGCATTCCATCTCCTGTCAGGTCAGGATCAGCAGTGGCATTAGAGGCCACATGGTAGGAGGTGAGTAGTGGGCTAGCAAGTGAAGCTTCATCTGTATTTGCAGCCGCTCCCCATTGTTTATGTTACCACCCACATTCCACCTCCTGTCAGATCAGGATCAGCAGTGGCATTAGATTTTCATAGGAGTGCAAACCCTGTTGTTTGCACTACAGGGATACTATGCTGTAGTGCAAACTATGCATGTGAGGGATCTAGGTTGTGTGCTCCTTATGAGAATCTAATGCCTGATGATCTGTCACTGTCTCCTGTCTCCCCCAGATGGGACCATCTAGTTGCAGGAAAACAAGCTCAGGGCTCCCACAGATTCTATATTATGGTGAGTTGTATAATTATTTCGTTATATGTTACAATGTAAGAATAATAAAAATAAAGTGCACAATAAAGGTAATGTGCTTGAATTATCCCAGAATCATCCCCAAACTCCACTGGTCTGTGGAAAAATTGTCTTCCACGAAACTGGTTCCTGGTGCGGTTCCTGGGGACTGCTGCTTTAAGCCACTAAGTTTGTGGTAGTTACAAAGGTCATAGGAAAAAACCCAGGAACCCACTTGTTGTTAGAGAGACCGACTTCCTGGTTCAAAGCCTGGGATAACACACTATTGCAAATACTTAGAAAGTCAGGTGCCAAGCTCCTGTGCAGGTGTGTGTACTTGAACAAGAACATTTGAAACAGACCTTTGGAATATGACAGCACTTCATCCTTTCTGTGAACAAATCCTTCTAATGGACTTGACTCACCCCCACCCCACCTTCCAACCCTCATTCCAATAATAACTGCATTTAAGTGATAAAAGTTTGGGCCTCATAAAAAGTTAGAAACAGACTGGGACCTTGCTCTGAGAATCATAATTTTGTTTTAAAAAATTTAAGCCAGGCGCGGTGGCTCACGCCTGTAGTCCCAACACTTTGGGAGGACGAGGTGGGTGGATCACGAGGTCAGGAGATCAAGACCATCCTGGCTAACACAGTGAAACCCCGTCTCTACTAAAAATACAAAAAATTAGCCAGGCTCGGTGGCGGGCGCCTGTAGTCCCAGCTACTTGGGAGGCTGAGGCAGGAGAATGGCGTGAACCCGGGAGGCGGAGCTTGCAGTGAGCTGAGATTGAGCCACTGCACTCCAGCCTGGGCAACAGAGCGAGACTTGTCTCAAACAAACAAAACAAAACAAAACAAAATAAAAAAAACAACAAAAAAACATTTAAAAGCGGCAGGAAGCATGTTTAAAGCAGGCATACACATTTCCTTCTTATGTTCAGTGGTTCATCTGTACTGCATTTAGGCTAAGTCTGGAGAGAAAAGACCACGTGCATCCTTAAAAACTCCAAGATATAAAATAAAGCCAAACGGCCTAAGAATTTGGTGAAGTAACATTTTGGAAAAACTGATTATCATTCGATTTCCCATTCTTTCCTTTGCTGCATTGGGGCAGAAAAGCTACGTGGTGCTTAGTGCTTCTGGGAAGGCAAGGAAAAAATGAGTCAATTCCTGGCTTCTAAAGCCTAAGGCCTTAGGGAAATATCAACATAATACATAAATGAAAGAAATAAAGAATAAAAAGGAATGTGTAAGAATGAGTTTCCCTCATTCCCCAAAGAGTAAAGATGCTGTCTTAGTCAGTTAGAGTAGCTAATGAAATACCATAGACTAGTGGCTTATAAACAACGGACATTTATTTCTCAGCATTCTGGAAGATGGAAGGTCTGAGATCAGGGTGCTAGCATGGTCAGGTGAGGATTAGGGCTCTCCTGGCTTGAAGGCAGTGCCTTCTCACTGTAACCTCACACATCAGAGAGAGAGAGAGAGAGAGAGAGAGATTGCCCCTTCTAGTAATGATTCTAATCCTATCATAATACTACGGTCCACCATCATGACTTCATTTAACCTTAATTACCTTAAAACAGCTCTATATTCAAATACAGTCACATTGAGGGTTAGGGCTTCAACAGATGAATTTGGGGATGGACACATTCAGTGCATAACAGATGCCTTGGGCTGGGAGTGGAAGGGGATTCATAGGTGAATTTAGAGGGGATTCGGAGGTCTCTGTGGTGAGAAGTGAGAGGCTGGAGCTGAAGGGAGCAGGTGGAGGAAAGAACCACGGCATAGATGTTCAGCCTTGTTTTCAGGAAACAAGGTGCCACCCAAGGGCTGTGCTAGACATTTTCTAGAGGCTGCCCGTGAGTACTTCCCTTGACAGCCACAGCATGAGGCCTTCCACGTGGCCAGCAAGGACACCAAATTTTGCTCCGAGACTGTTAGACACAGCTTGCCTTACTCAACGTATATAACCTGCAGACCCGACAATATGTCAAGAAGCCTCAGAGAAAGAGGATGGAGGCTGGTATGGTGGCAGTGACTTCGAACACACTGGTGTAAAAACTGTACTTGGGTGGGGCCTTAAGGTCACTCCTTGGAGAACAGCCCACCCACAAGCCATGAGAGGTGAAATATTTCTAGCTACAGGACATCAGAGCCGTCCCTACCTGGCACCCTCCCTACCGGGGCACATTTCTCAGGGACCTGACCTAGTCTAAACACTTAGGTTAACCATGTCCCTGCATGGCAGACCAGAGGAATTTTCAAAGCGGGGTAAATCTCAGCCACAACACTCTGCTCCGGGAACTTGGGCTGCAGTACAGCTTTCTTTATTTCACATCATTTCTTCCACAACAAATTCAACAGGAATGTGCCACTTTATGCAAGGGAGATGATAAATCAACATCAAATATGTTATGCTCAGCCTTATAATAATTCAATAAATTATTCAGTACAGCAGTTACTAAACACAGAACAATTTACCAACAGCCCATTCATGAGATTTTATGGTTCAGGTTAAACATCTGTGGTTGTGTCTACACTGCAGACAAAATTCGTGTTTAGAACAGTGGTTTATGATGTTGGGTGCATATTGGGAATCATCTGTGTCATAAGGTGATACTGATGCTTGGAGTCCCACCCTGAATAGAGTTTGACTTAATTGGTCTGGGGTATGCATTGGGCGTGCCTTGGTATTTTAAAAAATTCCTCCTATGATTCAAATGTAAAGCAGTTGAGAACTACTGGGGTTGTGTTTTAGCTGTAAAGGAAATCAAACTGTATGGAGGAGTTAATCTTATGAGATTTGTGGAGTAAGTATGGAGAGCATGCCCTTTAAATCAGTTGTCCTCAACCTGGACGGTCCAGTAGAATCATACACCAGGACATCAGAACATACAGCAAATATATACCATGACTCAGCCTGGGTCTCCATCCCAGAAGTATTGATTTCATTGGTCTGAGATGTTACCTAGCATCAGGATTTCAAAAGCATCTGAGTGACTGCAACATGGAGCTACTGATTTAAACTGTGGTTCTCAGCTCACTCAGCATGTTAAAATAAGCTGAGAGTTTTACAAACTCATGTTTGAGCCCCAGCCCCAGAAGTTCTTATTTTAAATCGATCTGGACTATAGCCTTGACAATAATTATTTTTAAAGCTTCCCAAGGAATCTTACAAGCACCCAGAGTTGGAAACAAGTGGTGTTAAACATTTTTGGGCAGAAACAGTGATGCTTGGTTGGAACTAGGGTGAGAATGTGATGTTAACATTTCAGAGATAAATGTAGGCATCAGGGCTCTGGTTCCTGGAGAAAAAAGACAGCTATAACTTTTCAGGGGGAAATACAACAATCCCATTTTTAATAGGGTGGCCAGGAAAGGTGCCATGGGCTCTGTATTAGTCCATTCTCATGCTGCTAATAAAGACATACCTGAGACTGGGTGATGCATAAAGGAAAGATGGTTAATGGACTCACAGTTCAGCATGGTTGGGGAGGCTGCAGAAAACTTAAAATCATGGCAGAAGGGGAAGCAAACACATCCTTTCTTCTTCCCATGGTGGTAGCAAGGAGAAGTAGAATGAGTAAAAGGAGCAAAGCCCCTTCTAAAGCCACCAGATCTCATGAGAACTCACTATCATGAGAACAGCAGGGAGGTAGCTGCTCCCATGATTCAATTACCTCCAACCAGGTACCTCTCACGACACACGGGGATTATGGGAGACACAATTCAAGATGAGATTTGGGTGGGGACACAGCCAAACCATATCAGGCTGAATTTGTAAGCTTAAGCCCTAACCCCCAGTACCTCAGTATGTGATGACTTAGAGACAGGGCTTTTAAATAAATCAGGGTAAAGGAGGTCATTAGGGTAGGGTGTGTTAAAAGTAAATTAAAATGGAGACTAGTCCTGAATAATCCCTGAGCAGACAGAAGTGGAAGTGGTTAGGCTTCATAAGTGACCTTAATCTTGCTGGGTGTGCAAACGTAAGTGAAACTTAACGAGTTATTTCTTGTAAACGTGTGTTAAAGAAAAACAGAACTTAAGTTCAACCAGTCAGAAGCAACCAATAGATATACAACTAGGGGCTTTCCACTGGAATGGAACAAATAAGGCAAGTATACAAATATAACCCATTAAATGTTTCCTTTGCTTTACTTCCTTGTGTGTCCCATAAGTCTCCACCTTGCGTTTGCTCAGTGGAATTCCTGAACCACTTCTGGTTTGAAGCTGCCCAATTCATGAATTCCTGTTTTAGCAAACAAACTCTTTAAACATTGTATTGTGTCTCAGTTTACCTTTTTAACAAGTCCTGACCTAATGTGACTGGTGACCTTAAAAGAAGAGGAGATTAAGAGACAGGTGCACACAGAGGAAAGAACATATGAAGGCATCGGGAGAAGGCAGCATCTACAATCTTCAGAGAGAGGCCTCAGAAGGATCCAAACCTGCCTGTACCTTGATTTTGGCCTTCCAGCCTCCAGAACTGTGAGAAAATAAACTCCTGTTGGTGAAGCACTCCCAGTGTGTGGTGCTTTGTTTTGGCAGCCCAAGCAGACTCATACAGAAGGCTTCTTTGGGGTTTGGGCATTTCCAAGGTGTCATAATTCAAGATGGGGTGTGAGTCAAGGGGAGGTCTTAGAGAAGAGCATTCCAGGCTTTGAAAAAAGCATATGCAATAATTTCTCCATCTCCATCGAGAAATGCTGTTAAAACAAACAGCAGAATAAAATTAACTGTTCTTCTTACTTGCTGAGATGTTGCCCAGGGGATGGTCTACCATATTCCAGTGTCCCTTTTGTGAGAATCCACAAAAGGAATCTTGTTCTGGTCCTGATATTTAGAGGAACTGTGTATCTCTCCAGGAACCAGTTTGGTTTCATTTTGTGGTGAGTGTAAATCTTTGACTCAATTGCCTTCTTTTGTCTGTTGAGTATTTACAAAGAAATACGTGGTCCACCTTCCATGACTGTGCAGACCCACATGCTGTGATTTCTGTTATGCATCCTGACTTAGTTTTCCTTTTTCCCATCCATATTTTCCTTCCATGTGGACACCCTTAAGTAATTATTTTACTTTTCTATGGTTAAATATGGTAACCTAGTCACTTTAAATCATTTGTGGAATGAAGTCAGGTTTAAGCGATAAAAGATTATCTTAGTATTTTTGACCTGGGATCACCATCTTCACAGAAAGTCAACACATCATGTTATCTTGTCATCTTGACAGCTTCTGCTATTGATGAACAAAGTCCTGAAATTTGCACATACCCCTTTCAAAGACATTTAATCACTACAGCCTCTTTTCTCTTTTAAGGCCATATTGAAATAATCATTTCCTCAAAGTGAAACTTCAAAATATACTGGAGAACAATTAGGTGCCCTGCACCTGAAAGGGGATTGTAATTAAAAGATGAGAAGATGTTTCACTGGTGAGAACATGCACGTGGTCAGCTCAGTTTTGTAGAGGCAGGCGAGGCCAGCCTTTGAGGCATCTTCCATGTCTAACGTGGATATTCCAACGTTGATCAAAGCAACACTACTTTCAGCTAGGCAGCTCTCTGGGAGCAGTTTCACCACCCAGCACTCTTGAAACTAATTGAAAGCTGTGGTCAGGCTGTGTTCTGAAATGCAGACACTTTTAAAGTTCTCAATAGCTAGGAGTAGATTTCTCAGGAGCTAATCAAAGGTTTTAGGGGGAACCTGAGATGAATAATTTCAAAGTAGTTGAAAGCTAGAGAGCTTTGGTTGAAACAGAAAATTAAATAATGGGGTCTCTCCATGCTTTGCTAGTTCCTTCTCAGGTCTGTCTGCCCTGAAGCACATATGGTCACAGCTCCTGGCTGGTTCTCAATGGAAGAGTGACGCTCCATTTTTCCATTCAGCCACCTGCAGGAATCCATTTACTTGCTATAGAAGCTCGGTGAACTGTGGCAGAGCTGAGTGATTTTAAAATGTAGCCATCAGCACCATTATTGCTTCTTGTACTTTTTCAATGGGGACTTAGATTCCATTGGAAAGTTCAATCAACAGGAATGGCGGCCGTTGACGGTGTAAATTTTGAAATGTCTTAAGCAGCTTCAGAGAGGAAAATAACAAATGCAATGTCTCGGCGTTCTTTTCAACCACAATGTGCCTGCGGATTTTGTCAGGAGGTTATCACTCAGGAAGGGGGGGACACTTAATCAGAGAGGCCTCCTGAGAATATGCTTTTAATTCATCAATGGATTAACTTTAATGAACCTGATTATGGGTAATAAATCGTGTTAAATATGTTATCCTGGGGAAAGTTCTCATTCTAATATGTGATTTAATGTCATGGAAATACTAGTTAGTCCTGTCTTTCAGTACTGTTTATTTGAGATCTGAATTTGGCCACGACTCTGCTGTCAATGATAAACACATGCACACACACAGAGTCAGGAATATATGGGTGGTTAAATTACAGGCTTAATCACTGTACTTGATAAGAACAGAAGAAGGAAAGAGACTGCACAGTGTTTACAGCAGTGCCTGTCTCCTAGGAGACAGCAACCACTAATGAACTATGAATAAATGAATGAATGAATGAAACTGTGATAAAGATGTCTCTGTCCGTAGCAAGACATCTGGACTGATAATAACTGGGAAACACAACTGTTGAGCTATTTGAGAATTAAGCGTAAAACCTACATTACCTGACACGTCTGTAGTGGTAATGACCTATGTCCAGATTTCAGTATATCCTGGCCTGTCCTACCCTGGCATAGTTGAGTCTTTAACATCTGAACCTGGCACGATGACGTCTTTGTGCCTGTGTGAGTCTGACTGTTTTTACTGGTGCTGTCACTGGGCAACTATGACCCTTTGACAATGTAATCATCAACCCACTGCAAGGAAACTTTCAGGGAGGAGCACAAGTCCTGGTATGCTCTGAAATCTGTCTACTCACATCTCCTGTTAATACCAATAAAGTGCCAACATCTGACCTGCAGGAGTGGTAATTTCTGGGAAAGAAATTCTGAAGACAATAGTCGAGAATCCTTTTCACAAAATGCTGCCTGTTGAGGTAAGAGGGCCACACTTTGGGAAATGGGTCATGATAATTTACATTTGTGATTCAGAAAAGTTATACTCAACGTGGAGAGGTTGGAAATGCCATAAGCAATTAACTTTGCTTTTTATTTTACTTTCATATATTTATAAGAGTGACATACGTTTTAAGAAGTTGATTCTAAATGAGTCTAAAAGAGACCTTTTATTAAGTATAAAAATAAAACATGGTGTCATAGTTGAAATGACATAACTTTTGTCTTATTGGTGATCAAAGTAACAATGCATTTTATTATTGATGGCATTTTAGATTCAATAGAATATGGTAATAACAACATCCATTTACATGAAACTGCAATTAATAAACACAGCCTTAAAAACTTATACAAATGCATACTAAACTGCTCATTAGCCTCAGAATTCACTTAGCAGGCAAACGTCTAGAAAAAAAACTTCCATTTATTATAGGAAGTGATTTTAAAATGATCGATACTCAAAGTCTCCACTTTCATCATATTGATAATTAAGTTTTTAATTGTAACTTATATTGATATAATTGTAGTTTCACATGATCACGTAAGAAATATTAGAAAAAGACCCGTTTGCCCTTTGCCCAGCTTCTCTCAATTGTAACATCTTCTAGAATTCTAGTGCAATATCACAGTCAGCATATGGACACTAAGATAATCCACAGATCTTAGATTTCTCGGTTTTACTTGCAGACGTTGTGTGTGTGTGCGTGTGTGTGTGTGCATCTCTATTTAGTTCTATACCATCTCATCACGTGTGTTGGTTTGTGTCTCCATCACCACAGTCGAGACACTTGGCAGTTCTATCCCCACAAGGCTCCTTCCTGTGGCCTTTCCATAGTCACCTCGCCCTCTCCTGTCCCCCATCCCCATCCCTAATCCCTGGCAACCGCTATTGTGTTCTCCATCTCTAAAACTCCACCCCATTTCAAAAATGTTACGTAAGTGGAATTATACAGTATGTAACCTTTTAGAACTAGAATTTTTTTTCACTCAGCATAACTTTCTGAAGATTCTTCCAAGCTGTTGCATACATCATTAGTTCAATCCTTTTTTTGTTGCCAGATGAAATCTTTTCAAATAAATAAATGGATATTGAATCCTATGAGAATTGTGTCAGATGGCTGTTTGGATAAGGGTGTAAAGAATGTGATTTGTGTGGGCTCCTAAATAATCAAAGACCTCCTTCAAGCCTGGTAGTAGCAACTTTGATACAAATCATTCCAGTCATTTGATCACTCCAGTGAAATGAGAAAAGGAGTAAAGGATAGGGATAAAAATCCAGGTAATTCCAGAAGCCCACTGTATTCAAAGCCATCGTTGCTGGCTCTGCATTTTCTGTTTAAGCCAAAGTTGATATTAAGAGAAACTATGCCAATTAGTATTTTATTTCTTCTTTTCTCCTATGAGCTCTTATAGCTATACAAATAAGCAGTGATAAAGTTGCCAAATAAAACCTAGAAAAAGAGGGAGATTAGGCTCTGAATGACTGATGAAAGGATTATCTAACTTTGAGAATACTGGAAAACACTTCTTTTCACATTTCCAAGCAACTTGAAATTGCAGCTTTTCACTGTAATCAGGTTTGGGACATCCTTTTTGTTTTTAAAACTTTACTAAAGAAACACTTCCAGAGAGCCTACTGCCATCTCATAGGTAAATTTTTATTGATTCCCATTTTGCATGAAATGTAAACTCAAACACAACCAGGTTGCGAGATTTTCCCCAACATTCTGTGGCTTTGAAGTGGAAAGCCAGGATTAGATTCCACGCAGTCTGACTCAGAGTTCTCTGCACACTCCTTTGTATTTCTGACTTTTTTCTTTTCTTTTTCCTTTCCTTTCTCTTTCTTTTTTTCTGAGGTATATTAAACCTACAGGAAGGCACATGTGGTACAGGTATGGAGCTTGACAAATTTGCACCAAATGAATTTCTCTTGTAATCAGCATCTGCACCAAATCACAGGAAATTACCAGGGTTCCAGAGGCTCCTCTCCACTCACTACCTGCTGCCCAGCATAACCACTTCCTCGGCTTCTGAAAGCATCCACTGGTTCTGCCTGTTTTGGTACTTTATGTAAATGATTACACAGACCGTATGCTCCTGTGATTGGCTTCTTTCACTGAACATGAGCTATTGCTGTGTGCAATTGTAGATCATCAATTCTCATTCTACCGTGTCCTTTAAAAAACTGTTGCTGGTGGTACAAGTCTGAAAATCTATTAAATTTCAGCAGCAAGTGAAATTTCCATTCTACTACCAAAAAATAATTTAAATTCAGCAGTCCATTTAAATATCAAATCCTCTCACTTCTATCTGGTAACCAAACAAATTCAGAGACTGGTTTACAAGGCTCTGTCTTTGAAACTTACCACCTTTCAAGCTGCTCCCATTTTAATCAAGATTAGAAGATGTGTCACAGTTTTTTTAGCACTTAAATTCCTTCCCGTCCATTAAGTTGACAAGGAGTATTCAATTACCAAGTATTACTATAATCGTCACTGGAAAAGCATCTCTAGGCAATACTTACAGCTTAGAGACTTGCTCCAGCAAAATAATAATTGTTAGTTGTCCTTCATATTGAAAGACGGTGCCAGATCTGAGGATCCTCCAGCAAGATGGCTTTTAGGTAGGTGGTTTGTGAAAGGTGCAGCCCGTCTACTGCAGAAATCCTGACCATTTGATAACAGACACCATACAGTCCTAAATCTCAAGTGTAAAAGAAAATATTGATTCAAGTGAACCGGCCAAAGAGGGAAGAGGGAGGCCCTAATTCTGAGCACCAAAAGTCCATTTTTACACCATAGCATCTCATTCGTCTACCTTGCAAGGGATCTAGAAAGCTGGGCTCTTTTTTATGAATACAGAGGCTTTTGAAAAAGTCAAAAGTGAGATTTGAGGTGAACACATGTTTAGACCCCAATCTATTGCACTGAGAGCCATATACCCAAAGACAGGGGGAGAAGTCCTAGTTTGATTTTACGGCTGGTGGTGCTGTTGCGGTCCGTGTTTCCGCTCAGTCTTTTGGTAGAATTGTTATTCAATCTGTACCTTCCTGTTTGTGTTTTCTGTTGGTCTGGGCTTAGTGGCAGAGGACATAACCCACTCTGTTTGTGGAAAAATATTAATGACACACAGGATCATTGGGTCGCTAGGCTGCTTCTAGCTTCTAGGAGTAAGTCCCAAAGCACACTGAGGAGTTTGCTACTCTGCTTCTGACCCCATTACAGAGCTGTGGAGTCCAGCAGGCTACCCACCAAATCAGGAGCTGCCCATCTGAGCCGCCCACTGTCGTGTGCACCATCAACGGAAGATGTGCTGCCTCTCTCCACATGCAACCTACGTTCCAAATGTAAATTTGTATGTGTGCATCTGGTTGGGGAAATCTAAATCACACCCAGAATGCCTCACTGCAAGGGACCCTGGGAAATGCAGTTCTTAGATGCTCACTAGAAAGGCTGAAGAACCCTAAGCCCACCAGCCCTCAGTGTGCAGGATTTAGACACACAATCAACAGAAATACAGAAATGCCCGTTTTAGCACCTCATGTAAACCCTACACTTTTACATTTCATGTCAATCCTCTAGATAATCTTTTTGTTGTTATTGAGGCGGAGTCTTGCTCTGTTGCCCAGGCTGGCATGGAGTGGTGTGATCTTGGCTCACTGCACCCTCTGCCTCCTGGGTTCTGGTGATTCTCCTGACTCAGCCTGGGATTACAGGTGCATGCCACTACACCTGGCTAATTTTTGTATTTTTAGTAGAGACAGGGTTTCAACATATTGGCCAGGCTGGTCTCGAACTCCTGACCTCAAGAGATCCATCTGCCTTGGCCTCTTAAAGTGCTGGGATTATAGGTGTGAGCCACCATGCCTGGCCTCTAGGTAACCTTTTATTTGAAGTTGAGATTTGCCTTGATTAGTACAATGGTTCTTGCCCTCACTGGGCGTCAGATTCACATGGATAACTTAAGAAGTACAGAAGACCGGGTCCCAAATCCCAGAGAGCCTGATTCACTCAGTCTGGGCAGGCCCAGGTCATCCCTGGATAATTCCCATAAGGACCCGGAATGAGGAACACTGGGTTAGACAACACCGCAGTCACCCAGTATCCTCTGCCTCCCGAAAGCTGTAGAACCTCGTAGACTTTGTAGAAGACTCTCATTGAGCTCAGGACTGAATTGCCGAAAATACATAACACATCGTAAAAAAAGATCTGAGAAATGCTCCGAAGGCTGGAACAACACATGCTCATCACGAGCAAAGAGAAGTTGCACCAACAGTGGAGGACATTTTAATTAGCCAAACCTTATGTATAAAAATGAAAATGCAGCACTCAGCTGCCAAGTCAACTACTGAACATTTAAAAGAGCTTATTGAAACTTTAACAGTGACTTAAACAAAACAAAACAAACAAGTGAAAATAAACAAATGGCGGCTGGCAACACATTGTGTCACAGATGGATGGGCTCCACCACGCTGTCCGAGGTAAATCACAAAAGACAAAATAAATAAATAAATACATAAACAACATTAGGCAGAACTCCCAGGGCTGTAGACCACTTTTTAAAGTCTTCAGACAAAAATTAAAAAAAGTCTCAGAACTCAAGGTACTCCATGGTTCCTGGAAAACAAATGAAATAACACTGCTCTGTGCTTTTTTTTTTTGGCTCCGCAGATTGATGATGAAGTGGCCCAGGAGGGACTTTAACCACGTTCGCATTATTTTAGAAGGGAAAGGAGACCCATTTCACTTCTTCCCAAGCTAAGCCCCTGGCTACTCCAAGTGTGGTCCATGGGCCAGCATCCCTAGACCTGGTTAGAAAGGCAGACTTTGGTCCACTGCAGACCTCCTGAGTCAGGATCTGCATTCAAACACAGTCTCCAGGTGATGCGTTCACACGTACGCGACAGTCTGTGAAGCACAGGGCAACACTCTCCCGTATTCCCATCTGTTTAGAGCACATGCTTCCATGTCAAAATCCTAGTTAAGAATTTGTAGTTTAAGAATTTCTAGTTAAGAATTTCTGAGTTTCTATAAAAGGAAGCACCTTTCCCATTTACTAGATTTGAGCCCATCAGCCCACCTGCAACAGAAATGTGTGTTTACTCACGCAGTCTGAAACAGTCCCATTCACCTCAAATTGTCTATTATAACAAAACATCCCTGAATCCACAGTTTTGTCCATCCTGCCATCCAAATGAGCATTTTACACTGTTAAAGTTCTTTTTTTTTTTTTTTTTTTTTTTTTTGAGACGTCGTTTTGCTCTTGTCACCCAGGCTGGAGTGCAGTAGTAGTGCAGTGGTGCGATCTTGGCTCACTGCAACTTCCGCCTCCCGGGTTCAAGCCATTCTCCTGCCTTAGCCTCCCGAGTAGTGGGGATTACAGGTACGTGCCACCATGCCCAGCTAATTTTTGTATTTTTAGTAGAGGTGGGGTTTTGTCATATTGGCCAAGCTGGTCTCAAACTCCTGACCCCAGGTGATCCGCCCACCTCGGCCTCCCAAAGTGCTGGGATTACAAGCATGAGCCACCGTGCTTGGCCCTAAAGTGCTTCTTAAACATACTGGATTATACATTTACTAGGACACTTAGAGGAAAAGACTTTTACATCTTGGTTATTCCCAGTGACCTGAAAATAAACAGACTGTTCATTTACCTCCTGGCCACCAACCAGCCTAGTAAGTGCTATATAACTGGTTGATTTGCAAGAGAATAAAATTGGAATTTCCTTCTTCCTTTAAATATGCAGCAAGAATTAGTTGAAAACACATATCAGATCTTCTGTGTTCTGACAAGAGAGTAAGGAGATAAGATTAACTGCTAAAAATGTCTCTCCACTTTATCTTTAGGTTTAATAATTTAGAGTTTGAACTGTTTGCTCAGAAGGCAAACAATATCTTCTGCTGCATATTTTATGACTGAATTTCAGAAAGCAACAGGCCAGCAGCCAAACCCCTGGTGCATACTTAACTTACTCTCCAGAGAAAAGATCTACTGGGGAAGAGGCTGGGGATCAATTCTGACATTGCACACAGAGGCCCCAGAAAGATCAAAACCTTAGAGTGAGTGCTGGGACCTCTTAGCTAACATCCACTGCAGACGGGGCACCTTGTGCTGCACACAGTTCCCCACCTGCTCCTGCTAGCTCCTGTCTCTGATTTGTCTTTACAAATGGCTTATTGGGACAGTCACTTTCCTGCTGGCTCACAGTGGTAATGGCCTGAGTGACCAGCTAGCTTATGGCAGCATACACCCTTGATCTCATGTTAACATCAGGATATGTGACACTCTTTAATGGAACTGAGAACATTCTCTTGCCCAATTAATGGAAACTGTTATCAGTTACTAAAGTACCATGGAATAAGAACAACATAATTGTCTACTTCTCAACCCTAGGAGGGTACTAACACCAACACCAAAACCAATGCTAACACTAATGCTAATGCCAGCACTAACACTAAAACCAATGCTAAAACTAATGCCAACACTACTGACACTAACAATAACACCAGCTCCAATGCTAACGCTATCACTAATCATAATACAAACACAAATACTATATGCCAACACCAACACCAATACTAACACTAATACCAACGCCAACGCCAACACTAACACCAACACCAACACCACCAATGCTAACAGTATCACTAATCATAATACAAACACAAATACTATATGCCAACACCAACCAATACTAACACTAACACCAACGCCAATGCCAACACTATCACTAACACCAACACCGACACCACCAATGCTAACAGTATCACTAGTCATAATACAAACACAAATACTATATGCCAACACCAACACCAATACTAACACTAATACCAATGCCAATGCCAACACTAACACCAACACCAACGCCACCAATGCTAACACTATCACTAATCATAATACAAACACAAATACTATATGCCAACACCAACCAATACTAACACGAACACCAATGCCGATGCCAACACTATCACTAACACCAACACCGACACCACCAATGCTAACAGTATCACTAATCATAATACAAACACAAAAACTATATGCCAACACCAACACTAACACCAATGCCGATGCCAACACTATCACTAACACCAACACCAAAACCACCAATGCTAACACTATCACTAACACCAACACTAACAATATACTCACACTATACTAACACTAACAGTAGTACTATGTGCCAACACTAAGACAAACACCAAACACCAACACGAACACTAACACCAGCACCAATGTAATACTAACACTAACATGAATGCCAACACCAACACTAATACTAACACCAACACCAGTGGTATGTGCCAACACTGACACTAACTCCAACACCAACACTAACAATAATACCAACACTAACACTAATATAACACTAACACTAATGCTAACACTAATAATAATACTAACACTAGTGCTAATAGTATGTGCCAATGCCAACACCAATACCAACACTAACACCAATGCCAGTGCTGACACTAACGCTAATACTAACATAATCACCAACATTAATACCAACACTAACAAACACTAACATCAACATCAACCATATCACTAACACTAACGCCAACACTAACAGCAATACTAACACTAACAGTAATACTATGTGCCAACACTAACACCACTCTAACACTAACGTTAATGCCAACACTAACAATAACACTAACACCAACACTAATACTATGTGCCAAGACTAACACCAACGCCAACACTAACACTAATACTAACATCCATGGCAATATAACACTAACACTAATGCCACCACTAACAATAATACTAACGTTAATGCTAATGCCATGTGCCAACACTAACACCAACACCAATACTAACACCAACACCAATCCAGCACTGATGATAATATTAACACCAACACGAATCCTAATATAAACACTAATAGCAACACCAATACTAACACCAACACCAATCCAGCACTGACAATAATATGAACACTAACACGAATCCTAATATAAACACTAACACCGACATCAATACTAACACCAACACCAATCCAGCACTGATAATAATATGAACACTAACACGAGTCCTAATATAGACACTAACAGCAACACCAATACTAACACCAACACCAATCCAGCACTGACAATAATATGAACACTAACACGAATCCTAATATAAACACTAACACCGACATCAATACTAACACCAACACCAATCCAGCACTGATAATAATATGAACACTAACACGAGTCCTAATATAGACACTAACAGCAACACCAATACTAACACCAACACCAATCCAGCACTGATGATAATATGAACACTAACATGAGTCCTAATATAAACACTAATAGCAACACCAATATTAACACCAAGACCAATTCAGCACTGATAATAATATTAACACTAACACGAATCCTAATATAAACACTAACACCGACACCAATACTAACACCAACACCAATCCAGCACTGATGATAATATTAACACTAACATGAATCCTAATATAAACACTAACACCGACACCAATACTAACACCAACACCAATCCAGCACTGATGATAATATTAACACTAACACGAATCCTAATATAAACACTAACAGCAACACCAATACTAACACCAACACCAATCCAGCACTGATGATAATATTAACACCAACACAAATCCTAATATAAACACTAATAGCAACACCAATACTAACACCAACACCAATCCAGCACTGATGATAATATTAACACTAACATGAATCCTAATATAAACACTAACACCGACACCAATACTAACACCAACACCAATCCAGCACTGATGATAATATTAACACTAACACTCATCCTAATATAAACACTAACACCGACACCAATACTAACACCAACACCAATCCAGCACTGATAATATTAACACTAACACTCATCCTAATATAAACACTAACAGCAACACCAATACTAACACCAACACCAATCCAGCACTGATGATAATATTAACACCAACACAAATCCTAATATAAACACTAATAGCAACACCAATACTAACACCAACACCAATCCAGCACTGATGATAATATTAACACTAACATGAATCCTAATATAAACACTAACACCGACACCAATACTAACACCAACACCAATCCAGCACTGATGATAATATTAACACCAACACTCATCCTAATATAAACACTAACAGCAACACCGATACTAACACCAACACCAATCCAGCACGATAATAATATTAACACTAACATGAATCCTAATATAAACACTAACACCGACACCAATGCTAACACCGACACCAATCCAGCACTGATGATAATATTAACACCAACACGAATCCTAATATAAACACTAACACCAACACTAACACTAATATTAATACAAGCACTATCACCAAGACTAATACATGAACAGTAAAACCAGTACTAAGAACAACACTAATACTAACACCAACACTGACACTATATTAATACAAACCTTAAGGCTAATACTAACACCAACACTAACAAACACTAATATTAACACAAGTACCAATACTAATACTAACACTAACACCAGAACTACTAACAGTAATACTATGTGCCAACACTAAGTGGAACACCCACATCAATACTAACAACAATACCAACACTAACACCAATCTAATACTAACACTAATGTCACTGCCAACACCAACACTAACACCAACACAAATGCTATGTCCCAACACTAACACTAACTCCAACACCAACACTAACAATAATACTAACACCAACACTAATACAAACACCAATACCAACACTAACACTTAAACTAAAACTAATATTAATATGAACACTAACACCAACAATGCTGACACCATGCCAGCACTAATGCAAATGCAAATACTAACAGTCATGCCATGTTATAAATAATAACAGCTAACAGAGATGGACCCTTTCCTGTATGTGGTCTAGGGCTAGCTGAGTATTTACTCACTTCATTCATAAACAGCTCTTTGAAGTAAGGACTATTACTTCTTCCACTAAGAGTTGAAGAGACGGAGGCAGAGAGTGGCTAGGTTTTTGTCCAAGGCCAAATAGCTGACCAGGAGAGGAGTAAAGATTGAAAAACAGTCCATTTGATTCCATGGTGAGACTTTTAGTTGCTCTTCTACCACGGGCAGTTTGAGCTGTGCCTTCATCGCACTGACTCGTTTCTAGGAGAGCTGTGATATGGCCGTTCCTGTCGGCGCACACTGGCGTTTTGTTGTCATCCTGTCACGGGACCAGCTGGGGAGGGAGAAGACTGTGTGACAGGGATTGTCGCTGTTGTGTGCGGCACTTTCAAGTGCTCCTGGAAGCTCCTTATCTTTCCAGTTGCCAATAGCTTTTCTGTAGATCATGGTCTACACCAGTGGCTGACTGACCTTGGCCCACGGGCCAGTTCGGGTCCTCCGTCTTTTTTTGTGCCTGAAGTTCTATTGGAACACTGCTCCACCCTTCCATTTACAGATCATCTATGGCTCCTTATTACAATGGCCCAGTTGAGTAGCTGAGGCAGGAACCACGTGCCCCACAAAGCCCCAGATATTTACTCTGTGACCACTTCTTGTCTACAATTACCTGGCTGAATGTCCATCCCCTCACCTCCCACCTTTCCTTCTATGGCAAGCTGGCTGGAGTCCACACTCCTAACCAGAAACAGCTTTCTGATCTTTCTGAATTTGCTAGAAAGCATATGGATAAAAGGCCCATCAACTCAACTTAAACTGGCTTCAACCATAAAGAAGAACTGAGTGCTTTGTGTTCCTGAGAAGTTCAGGGTTATGCTGATTTTGGATATAGAAGGAGCCAGAAGGTCCCCTGGTCACCACAAGCCTGCGATTACCTCCTATTTGCTGCTTCCAAAGGCCTCTCTCCTTGGTCCTCCTTCTTCTTGCTGGTGACTCTGGGACCACTCGCTCTGCCCTGTCCATGTCACCTGACCCTACCTTGATTAACCCCCTCCATCCCAGGGTGCTGTATGGAGAGGAGGCCTCAGGAGTGAGGACATGAACTCAAGGGCCTTACTGCATTCTCACCCTGGCTCTATACTATTGGTTGGATGTAGGCTTCATAACTTTCATTATCTCCATCTTAGTTTATTTGTAAAATATTGAGCTTAATATTCCCTCCCTCACAGGATTTGTGAGATTTAAATGATTTAAAATGCACTAGTACTCATACACACTCATGCATATCTAGCACACAGTACAGTACGTACTCTATAACTGTTCATTCTTATAACTATTGAATCATTAGATCCTCATTCTCTTCACAGCTGCTTCCTCCCTTGTTCTAAGTCATTCCCAATCTTTTGTCGTTAATGCACTTCTTGCAATTTCATTGTTTTCCTTAAGTGAGCTCGTTCATTCCCCAGCCCTCACTTTTCCTCACACGATGATAACAATAAGGAAATAATAATAAAATGATCAACAGATCACATTTATTGTGTGCTTGCAATATACCTGTTTAAACTTGAGTGCATTAACTGATTTGATTCCCACAACAAACTTCGGGAGATGAGGGAAGGCAGAGAAAGAGACACATGGAATAGGAGGAGAAGGTCCACTGTGCCTCTAACTGGAGTTCTAGAAGGGGAGAAGGCATGTGAAGAGGGACTGAGAGTTTTTAGAAAGTAAAGAAATGGCAATCTTCAGATTTAGGCCAGAGCAATGAGAGACAGAGAACCTCACCCTCGAAAGGTTCTCCTGCACGGGCGGTGCCTGGACAAGCCCAGTGAGGTCTCAGAATTCAGAATTTCTCCCCCCGCCCTGTGGACTAAGATCTCATCATTTGTTATACCCCAGTCCAGTAGTTCTCAATACTGGTTACACATTAAAATCATCAGCAGTGCTTTAAAAACAAAAACAAAAACTCAACATATCCTTTTGGGTCCTACTCCAAGAGATTTTGATTAAATTATTCTGGGGGTAGAGCCCTGGCATCAGTATTTCTTTTTTTATTTTTTTTAGATAGAGTCTCGTTCTGTTGTCCAGGCTGGAGTGCAGTGGTGCTATCTTGGCTCACTGCAATCTCTGCCTCCCGGGTTCAAGTGATTCTCCTGTCTCAGCCTCCCGAGTATCTGGGATTACAGGCGCCCACCACCATGCCCAGCTAATTTTTGTAGTTTTAGTAGAGACAGGGTTTCACCATGTTGGCCAGGCTGGTCTCGAACTCCTGACCTCAGGTGATCTGCCTGCCTCAGCCTCCCAAAGTGTTGGGATTACAGGCGTGAGCCACCATGCCTGGCCTCAGTATTTCTTTTTTTTGAGATGGAGTTTCACTCTTGTTGCCCAGGCTGGAGGGCAATGGCACAATCTCGGCTCACCGCAACCTCTGCCTCCCGGGTTCAAGTGATTCTCCAGCCTCAGCCTCCTGAGTAGCTGGGATTACAGGCATGTGCCACCACACTCAGTTAATTTTATATTTTTAGTAGAGACAAGGTTTCTCCATGTTGGTCAGGCTGGTCTCAAACTCCTGACCTCAGGGCGATCCGCCCACCTCAGCCTCCCAAAGTGCTGGGATTACAGGCATGAGCCACCGCCCCCTGCCTGGCCTCAGTATTTCTTAAAAGTTCCCAGCTGACTGAACAACAAGACTGGGGGAATCAGAGTTCCCTGGAGCCATTTCCAGAATCTGCACACTGGAGACCTTTCCTCTGATCCTTCCTCCTCAAAGAGATTCTGGTCTCATGGGCCTGCACATCCACATGCAGCATGCGCTTGTTGACAACACCCTCCCTGTAAAAAAGCTGAGAGGTCAGTGGTTCACAAAGTGTGGTCCCCGGGCCAGTGGCGGCTGTGTTGCTAGGAACCTCGTTACAAATGCTGACTCATGGTGCCCTACCATATATACAAAATCAGGGACCCCAGGCCAGGGCCCACCACCCTTGATGGAACAAGCCCTCCCCCAACCCTCACCCCAGTGATTTTGATGCACATATATTCTGGGACCATTGTGATGTGATATTCCCATTTGTAAACATCTGCACTACACCCAATATGGCAAACTCGAATGTCTACAAAAACTACCAGGTAATTCAAGTGAACAGACAGGGCCAGATACAAGGAAAATAAAAGACAAGACCCATCGAGGATGCATGGCCCTCTTGTTGTCAATGTCAATTATGATAAACTTGGAGGGTATGCATCCCACCTGGAGAGAGCAACCTCTACTTGCCTCCAATCTACGTTACAGGTGCAAAGATAGTCCTAGAACGAACAGACTTTTTTTTCCCTAAGGTGCTAGAAGCTCAGATATTTAGAGGGAAAGTTCCTGATTTTTCAAACAAGGCATGTAATTAACATTTCCAAATGGCTCAAACCACACTCTGTAGGCCAGTCAAAGCTTTATCTGTGCAGCAAATTCAGCCCGTGGCTAGAAATTTCTGATTTGAAGGCAAGGGCCATGTCTTCCTTACCATGTTTGCCCAGTGTGTGTGCTTGTGAAGGTTTGCAATACACATTGGTTGAATGAGTGAGTGAATGAGTGAGGTGAGTGAATGAATGAGCCAATGCTTGCCCTATCCAGGATGTTGTTTAAAAGTGTCAATCATCTTTTCTGGGGGGCAACTGGTTTAATGGATCAAAATTTAGATGCAGTGGCTTCTTGGGGATGCTTTCCTGTTTCTTTCCAGAATCACAGGGGCTGAAGGTGGTGGCTGAGAGTGCGTTAAGGGGTTTGCTGAAGGCACACTTAACCCTCTTCAGTTTAGACAGCAACAGGCCAGTCTGTGACTTTCCTGTTTTCTTTTTGAGGAGAGCCAAATTCACATAATTGCCTTAGGCTGCTGCTCAGAAACTTGGCTCAATAAGAACCACTCTCTTTCACCTCCCCTAAGAAACTTTTCAAAAACTCGTCCTGAAAAGTCCTGAGTGGCTTCCGCTCATGAAGATGAATAAATAAACTCCAGCAAGCTTAAACACTTGAGCAAGCAACCCACGCCAAACTGAGGTTGTTTTCCTCTTGCAGGTAATATTCATCACTCAGAAATGCCCATCAAAACTTGCAGTGACAGGTGTACAACAGAAAGAGCCAAGAAATGTTATTGAAGTTACTGTGGCTGAGACATTCCCTGGGAAACATAAACATCCCCCCAGAAACTCCGCCACTCATCTCTCAGGCTTCTCAGAAAAGACATCCACCCCACTGTCAAGTAGAAATATTTTTCCTGACAGGATCATCATTTTAAAATTAATATTTAAAAAAGCAACGATGTTTTCATTGTCACCATTTCCCCCTTAACAAGGCAAAATTAGAAACGGAATTAAACAGCTTCATTCTCAAAGTGGTTTTGTGGCACGGCACGTTTTTCAGCAACAGGCGGAGGATGCTGTGCCATTGATCAAACTGTACAATCCTCAGTGATGGGTGGGAAAAAAACCTGACCTCTGAGCGGGAGTTGCAGCTTTTACTGTCAATTACAGTTTCTGCTCAGATACATGAAGAGATTTTATCCTCTGCTGTCCACTGTTCCCGTCAATACATTTTTGTAAGAGCTGGGAATACAAACCCTGAACATGAAGGGAGCCCGTGAGGACTGCCTGCCTGGGCGGAAACACTACCCTGAAGCCCAAGTCCTTGACCCAGTTGGTCAATACAATTATTGAGATCAGTTGGCTCGAAAATGACAGTAAGTGTTTTTCTCACTGATCTCTACTAAGGAAACAGCTACACCTCTCCGGGCCTGCGTGAGTTCTTAGAAACGATTGTGAGGTTCCTGTGAGAGGTAGAATAAAGAACTCCCAAATATAGGCCATCCTGGAGAAGGGGGAGACAGAGGGACACCCGTGAGGAGGACTGTGAGAAGCAGGGTCTAGCCGCGTAGACGCTGGGTGGCGTGCAAGGCTCAGCGGGGCTGGACTGTGCACATACAATGCCCACAAATGAAATTAATGACATGTGACACCACGCCAGCTCAAACACATCGCATTAAAAAGACCACATACTGTATGATTTCATTGACAGAAAACATCCAGAAGTGGCAAATCTATCACAGAAACTTTAGTGGTTGCCTGGGGATGGAGGTGACAGATGGGCTGCAAAAGCTCACGGGAATCTTTTGGGGGTGACAGAAAGCTTCTGAAACGGAATTGTGGCAATAGGTACACTCCTCTGTAAACACACGAACAGTCTTTGACTTGTATACTCAGAAGGGGTGAATTTTATGGAATGTAAATTATGCTTTGATAAAGCTCTTAAAAAGAATCACATGGAGGCTATCCGTAGTCCTTCCGCCATGCCTCTGTATAAGTGTTCCTCCAAAAATGTGAGTACCCCCAAATTACCTCAAAACTTCCATCAGCAAATATAATGGGAGACACAAAAGAGAAATTAATTTTCATTATGGAAAACTAGAGGTAGCAATTTTTACCCATTAGATGGGTGCAAATGGAAATGTTTGACAGTATTAAGGATAGCGAGAATGAGGAATGGTGCTTGATATGAGGCTGATGGGTTTTTGAATTGGTAAAGCCACTTTGGAGAGCAATTTGTCAGTATTTGATAAAACAGAAAATACTCATAACCTGAAGTCCAGTAACTAAGTATATACCCATTTCTTATGGGCATCCACAATTAAATTAGATTTAATTGTGGTCTTGATGCCCAATCTGAATTATTTCTTATGGGTATATATTTGGTTACTGGACTTCAGGTTATGAATATTTTTGTAATGTTCTTATGGAGATTTGCACAAGGACGTTCACTGCAACGTTTTATCCTAGTGAAAAAGGGATAACAACAAAAATGTCCAGACAGGCAAATGTGCAATAAAAGAATGGGTATTCTTTTCTGTGGATTGCAAATGAATATATATATTTACATATAAAAAGGATATGAGATGTACTTATAAGATAAAATACTATTATGTCTGTATATGTATATCTACATAGATATATCTGTATATCTACATCTACATACATGTACATAGATATCTATATATCTATAGATAAAATATATATCTATATACTAATCTATATATCTAGATATATTTCTATATAGATATATCTATAACATACTGCTATAGATATATCTATATTGATACATTGATATGTACATATGGCTATAAATATATATTTATATAACATTTATAATATACTATATAATACATTATATTATACACATACTATATATAATGTATTATAAAATAATATATAATATATATCATATAAATATATATTATATAAAGTATATAATATACAGTATATAAGATATATATAATTATATAGCTATACACTATATAGATATTATATGTCTATATATTATGTATCTATTATATCTAGATACAGATATAGGTATGTCTTGGTATGAATAAATCTCAAAACCAAATTCAATAAAAAATAGTGGAATATGTTCACTATCATTATTTATGTAAAATTAGCATAAACACACTTACGTAAAGGACACACATTAAACATACTGGCAGAAGTGCCCAATGGAACAGCGGGTAGAGGCATGGGATTGGAGATGATGGTTGTGGCGGACACTCTTAATTATCTCCCACATTTTATTTCCCATCCTCTCTTTTACTACTAAAGCCCCCACATTGTAGACTGGACACACATGCACTACAGTCACGTGGTTAGGGGTGGACCCGTGACCAAGTTCAATGGAAGATGAGAACAAACATTTGTGCAATTTCAAAGTCACATCCATAAGAGAAATTGGCTTGTGTGCTACTTCCTCTTTTCCTTTCCTACTGGCTGGAAGGAAGACTCAACGCTGCTGGGCCATTGTTGTCTACGTGGACAAGGTCACTAAGAGACTGGAGGAGACCCGCAGGATGCAGGGAACTGGGGCTTTGGAAGTGCATGGAGAATAGACATGCTTTCCTTTGGTGGGGGCTTAGCAGCCTGGGTTTCCCTAAGAGACAGAAGTAAACCTGTGATTTTCCTCACTCATTGCTAATGATTCTTTCTTAAAGCACCTAAACTCAACACTCCACATAAAGGCATGGCATGTTTAAAGATGACTTTATACCCCCAATTTTTTATTTCTTAAAAATGTCCAAAAGCAAATACAAAAAAGCCATATTCTTGTTAATTTTTATGGAGGCAATCTATGCCTATCTTGCCTATATGTTTGCTATGTCTTTAGGTTTTTGTAACCTGACAATGTATCCAAGAAGTATGAAGGCAGTCACATTGCTTGTACACCTGAGATGGTGACTTAAAATTTGTTTTCACTAGGAATATATCACCTAAACATACTTACTGGTTTATGGGTGAATCTATTTAATATCTCATATCTTCTCCTAAGTCCCGAGCAGAAAAATAACCCCATTCTTAATCTCATAGGCATATCGACAATATTGTCCTGTTTTTCTGGTTCAAAGATGTAGATAGAGCCCATTTTCTACCTTCAACAGCTCACCTCTCTCAGAACATCTCAACATAGAGAACTTAATAGATGTTTATTAATCTCTTCAAATGGTCTTTTGTAAATTCTTCTTTGCCCTGTGAGCTTTCAGAAGAGAGTATTGCTTGTCTGGGAGACTGAGTTTGCCATACCCATCACTCACCAAGTGTGCGTTTGTCACTTGGGTTCAGAAATTAGATTTAATTGTGGTCTTGACGAACAAGAGTCTTTAAAACATGCCCAGTCTAAATTATGTTATGCATGTAAACTTTCTGACGAACACCGTAAAACTACATGAAATCTAGCTCTGGAAAGCGATCACACTGGAATCCATGAGAAACTTCACATTTTCTCTTTTGGGTCCAGATGATTGCATTAAGCCCATCTTTGGATGGAAGACAAGCAGAGAAAGGAAACTGGGAACTTAGAATTCAGGAAAACTATAAGAATGGTATCTTTCTATTTCTTCTCCGATGCCCAGAAATGTGTCTAACATAATCAGTGATTGTGATTGGTTGATTGAATGATTTTCACAAATAATTTTACTGTCCTTTATCTGTCAAAGCTTTTCTTTCCAAAGTTTTCCTAGAATAGAACTGAAAGGAAAGGTCCACAGTAGTATCCAGTTTTGAGCATTCACACCTGCACTGGCTGCACTGAACTCTACTTTGATTCATCTCAGGCTGTAGAGCCAGAAAGCATTCAAGATACCAAAAACTCACAGGCAGAGGCAGAACCGACGGCCTTTGCAACTAGGGACTTTTCTTTGGGGCCAAAACCTCTCTACATGGGAAAATCCTAGAAAAACAGGTGTATGTAGCATCTGAAAGTTAGGTGCTTCAGTTCTCTCAGCCAGACCCAACACCCCATGTTGCTTTTATGCCACAAACACTAATTGCATTCCTATTGTTTGCTAAGCACTGTGCTGAGGACAGGAGACACGTTTGTGGGCAAACTGATATAAACTCTGCCCACCTCTGACACTTTTGGCTGCAAGTAAGAGAAAGCACAACATATGGTGGCTTAAATCATAGAGAAATTTTTTGTTTAAAAGAAGTCTGGAGATAAATGGTCTCAGCTCAGTGATACCATCATCTTTCCCTTCCTCTGAACTACTATCTTTAGTGCCTGTTTTCCTCCCTGTGAAGCTTGTCACTTCATGGTTGCAAGATGGCTGCCTAAGCGCCAGACATCACTTCTCACTTGATTGTGTCTAAAACTGTAGGGAGCAGAGCAAGAGAGAGCTCTTCCCTGGGGCTCACTTCTTGTATGTGGGAAGCACAATCTTTCCAAGAAGACAATCAGCAGACATGCCTTTATATCTCCTTGGGCAGTACCAGGAAACTTGTTCATTCTATCATAAGGGATGATAGAAAAGTATCTGGGTTGGCCCAAATAATGTGGACAGGCAAAGGAGGAGGGGGTTGGCTATGCATGATGAGGATCACATCTTCACCTTAGGGAAAGACACACGATATATAAATTGTAATTGTAGTAAATATTATAGCTGGGGAAGATTGGATGTCCAAATAAAGATCTTCTGTTACATCCTAGCCACCAAGCAATTCATTCCATGGGGAAGCTTTAATTATGAAAAAATTTAATCTGAGAGTTTACTCCTCTCTCCCTAAGGAGAACACTTCTTAGACAATGCATATCTATTTATGTATTCATCCATCCATCCATCCATCCATCCATCCATCCATCCATCCATCCACTGATTGTCTTAGTCTGTTTTGTGCTGCTATAAGAGAATACTTGAGAATAGTAATTCGTAATAAATAGAAATCTATTTGGCTCATGGTTCCAGAGGCTGGGACATCCAAGATCAAGGGGCCACATTTGGCAGGGACCTTCTTGCTGCATCATCCCATGGCAGGATGTGGAAGGGCAAAGGAGCACACACATGGGACAAGGGCATGGGGACTGAACTTATCCTTGTATCAGGAGCCCATTCCAGTGATAACCAACCTACTTCTGCAGTAGCTAACCCATTCCCATGACAATCAACTCACTTCTGCAATAGCTAACCCACTCCAGTGATAACCAACCCACTTCTGCAGTAGCTAACCCATTCCCATGACAACCAACCCACTCCTGCAATAGCTAACCCACTCCAGTGATAACCAACCCACTTCTGCAGTAGCTAACCCATTCCCACAACAACCAACCCATTCCCACGACAACCAACCCACTCCTGCAATAGCTAACCCACTCCCATGATAACCAACCCACTCCTGCAATAGCTAACCCACTCCCACGATAACCAACCCATTCCTGCAATAGGTAACTCACTCCTGAAATAACTGCATTAATCCACTTGTGATGGCAGAGCCCTCATGATCTTCTCACCTCTCAAAGGTCCCACCTCTCTACACTGGTGCACTGGGGATTAAGTTTCCAAGACATGAGCTTTGGGTAACACATTCACACCACAGAACGTATTTACCTGTCTAATAAAGAATGAGGACGTCTCAAAAAAAAAAAAAATTCCAGTAAGATTTTACAAGGAATTTGAGAAAAAGTGGTTATAACAATTATATACCTGAATAAGATATGCAGTTCTACTAAGAATTACACGAATTTTGAAAATAGAAAGCAAAGAGAGAGGAATTAACATATATTGCAAAGCCATAATAGGTAAAACTGTGTGGCTCAAAGGAACAAATATACACTGATGAACAGGGAAAGCAGTTTGGAAAGAGTTGTGTGTGTGCGTGTGTGTGTGTGTGGGGGGGTATATACATTTTTCATATAATGAATATTTATATTATAGAAGGTGATATCAAAATTAGTAGGAAAACATTATTTCATAAATATTTGGTAAAGTGTGATTGTGATGATAGATCATTATGCAAAAAGAAAAATTACAATTTTCTCAAATTGCATACAACAATACATTCTAGACAGAGAAATATGGTTTCATCTAGTATTTTCCAAGAATAGGTTCCAAGGAATGAGGAGAGCCCTGACAGCTTACCTTGTGTCCCAGAAATAAGTGAGGCCCCAAATTCAGAATGGGGAAAAGGCCAAGTAGAGGGTGAGGTGGGAAGAAACACAAACGGTCAAAACTCCAAAAATAGTATCCAGTCGCAGACACATTAGTCAAGAGCATGTCCTCTGAATTTTAAAACCTGCTGGTATCTGCTAGGCCTGGCAAACCTGTAGCCTGCCAGTGGGTTTACAGCGCCAAGCTTGTCAAACCCAGCTAATTTTGTTCTTGTTGCTCTGTTTTGTTTTGTTTTAGGCTTTTAGCAGCCTGAAGCCATGGTTTTTAGTTTCTGTCTCCAGTGATAAGTGGAAAAGAGGGATGAGGAAAGGGCTTTACTGGTCCAACCAGAAACAGAAACTAAGAACCCATGACTGTATTCTCTCCTCTGGACATCCCTGCCAGACACGGTCCTCCATCCTCTTCACATGGAGAGCTGCCTGGACTATTTTGACGACAAAAACTACTGGTTCTGCCCCTCAAAAATCCAATTAATGAACCTCAGCATCCAATTTACTCAACACCACCATTTTCCAATCAGTATGATAAAAAGAGAGTTGTAAAATTTATACTTTCTTAAAGAAAAATTCTTGGGGAAAATATGTAATCTTTGTGCCAAGCTAAATATATAATATTTTTCAAATTAACTATAAGTTGTTCCATTTGAGTGGGAAAGCAACCAATATCTTGGTGTGAAAAATGTGAGTCATATCACGTTGGTCATTTAGAAAGTATTCAATGAAGAAAAATATAGCAAAATGTATTCAGGTGTGATTTTGCAAAGGTGAAAAAAGTTTAGCACACACGATTAAGTGTGTGTCCATTTGTGGCCCTGGAGTGAGGGGCTGTGAGACTCTCCTCTTCCATTACACCACTGAAATGCACCCTGAATCTCACCATCCATTTCCCTTTCCCACACTGGGCCTGGCCATCACAAAGCTGCATGGTTTTTGGCTGCAGAATTAAAGCATGTCATTCTCAAACTGCCATGTGTGACCACTACAATCTACTGGGGAGGCTACAGTGAAAGGCTTGAGATTCTGCAGATACCCTCAGAGCAGGTGTTTACATAAACGCAACAGTTACAGGACCACCCCATATGCCAGCCTTGGCATAAGATGTGGTTTATAAGGACAGGGCATGGTGGCTCATGCCTGTAATCCCAACACATGAAGAGGCCAAGGCAGAAAGATTGCTTGAGGCCAGGAGTTTGAGACCAGCCTGGACAATATAGTGAGACTTCATCCCTACAAAAGGTTTTAAAAAATTAGCTGAGCATGGTGGCATGAGCCTGTAGTCCCAGCTACTTGGGAGGCCAAGATGGGAGGATGGTTTGAGCCTGGGAGGTGGAGGCTGCAGTGAGCTGAGATCACGCCACTGCACTCCAGCCTGGGTGACAGAGCGAGACGCTGCCTTAAAAAAAAAGAAAAGAAAAAGAAAAAGGTGTGGTTTAGGTACATCAACTCATTTAATCCTCACCCTAACCGTGTGAGGCAGGTTGGCTATTCTCCACTTTGCAAATAAGGAAGTGAAAGCACAGAGAGGTGAAGCTGCTCCTCCAAGGTCACAGAGATAATGAGCTGGGATTGGAGCCCAGCCCTCTCGCTCCAGTCTGTGTGCCCTTCTCTCCACTCCTCAACCTCCACCTCTGTTCTCCTGCCTCCTCACTCTCAGCATCTAGCACAGGGCCCTGTACTCTGGAGGTGTTCGATAACGTGTAAAGATTTGAATTGATCCAGCCAGGGCAGCCTGAGGAATGACATGCTTCCTCTCCTCTCCACAGGTCCCCTGGCTCTGTGACAATGAGTGGCTGCAATTCAATACAACCAGGTACATGAGGGAGGGTGGCACGTTCTCAGTGAAGCCTGGCTACGAGGGCTGCATTTTCTTCCATTTCAACAACCCAAGCTCTCCAAAGGCAAGAAGTGACTCCTTTAGGCTGCCAGGGTGAAATGTGCTGTTGAAGCCTCAGGTTTCCTATGCATACCTCGATAATCTGCTGTCGGAACTTGATGTTGCTGCATGGCTAGAGAATGGCAGAGAGAAAGACGGGGAACTCTTCTGAGAGTCTTGGTTATGAACTTCAGCAGCTTTCCCAGAAGCACGTCCCTGAGGTCTGCACAAAAGAAATCAAATCCAGGTGTTGTCTAGAAACAAACCTTTGTTTGAGCCTGTACAGCTCTCACTCGACGGCATTTTCACAGGAAAGTAGGAAGATTGGCTGTAATCATCCGTCCCAGTAGGAAGATCGGCTACAATCATCCCTCAGAATCCCTCTGAAAAGGTGTCCAGTGAGGGATGGGTCACTGCACTGTACACGGGTCTGTGAGACTTACTTACTTCAGCACTCAGCTGGAAATGTTACATCTCAGCTCATCAGCATGCCCTAACCCTTTGGTACAAGGACAGGCACCATTTCTTTTTCTTTCTTGTCTTGAGACAGGGTCCCGCTCTGTCACCCAGGCTGGAGTGCAGTGGCGCAATCAGAGCTCACTGCAGCCTCAACCCTCTGGACTCAAGCGATCCTCCCATCTCAGCCTCCTAAGTCAGTTTTTTAAATTGAAGGGTAGAGAAATTCTTTCTTTCTCACTGATGGTGATGTCAAGAGGATGGGTGAGGGGTCTGGTGGGACAGCCACCATCTGCAGCAATGGAAGAGCTTGTGTGAGATTGAGGACTGGGTCCTGGGGTGGGACAGCCACCATCTGCAGCAATGGAAGAGCTTGTGTGAGATTGAGGACTGGGTCCTGCAGGGTGTTTCTCACAGCACCCACAGTCACCTTTATTTCTGAACTTTGACTTATGTAAAACAGTAAATTCTGCTTTGTTTTGCTTGTTTGGGCTGTGTTTTCTGCCACGGGCCACTGAAGAAGACTCCACTGACAGAAAAGTTTTCCAGGATTGTGGCAGGCACTTTGCAAATTCAAACTCAGTACTACATACAAATAATTAGAGGAATTAATTATAACCAAACAATATTCTTCATCTGGAACTTTCCTTCCAAACCAACTCAGTGCCCAGAGGAAAGAGGTCCCATGACTTGAGTAATTCCTCTCCATTGATATCAAAGACTTGTCAGCGAAGGTGATTGCTCCAGCCCGCGGAGGTTAGAACATTCATCTAGAATGCCGGAAAACAACTGGCTTTCGAAAATACTCCCAGGCATGTCTCACTTAGGAGAATTTAGACACATACTTTAGAATACACACATAACTCGCTGGAAGAAGAGAGTACAGCAAGGACTAAACTTGCAACACAGATGTTAGGGGTGACTGCAAAGCATTCATGTGGAGTGAGTAGGAAACGGCATTAATGCATTTAAAACAGATTTTAACCTAGGAAAATTCAGCTCACACACAATTTTGGAGGAACACATCTGTTGCGGAAATGCAATGAACTTGAAATGGCAAAAGCAAATCTGACAAAAGCAAGGACCCTTCCTGAGCAATCTGCTAATATTCATGAAATTACCATTCATTGACCCTCTACTTTGTGCCAGGGAAGAACACGGGGAAAACGAGAGCAACAAGGCCCCTGCTACAGACATTCTGTTGACTCGCATGGAGTTAGAAAATTAATTTTAAAAAACTAGTAAATGATAGCAGTACATGTATGAAGAAGAAAGGGAATAATGAGGGTGCTTACTAGGAAGGTAGGCAGAGGAGACTCTGCAGAGGTGACATTTAAGCAAAGACCTAAATGAGGTGAGGGGTAGCCAAGGGATATCAAGAAGAGCTGGTTCCAGGCAGGAGGAGTGGCGAGAGCTAAGGCCTTGAGGTTGGCATGTGCTTTGCGTGTTGGAGGGTCAGCAAGGATGCCCGTGTGCATGGAGAGAAATGAGAAAATAAGAGATGGATAGGTGATGGGGTCAGAGAAAAAATGAGCCAGAAATTGTACAGCCTTGAGAAAGACTTGAGGTTTTACTTGAGTAACACAGGATGGGGATGCAGTTGGAGGTTTTTCTTTCTTTTTTAAAAAGAAAATTAGTAGGGAAGGGTATTAGGCCATTTTGCATCGTTGTAAATACCTGAGACTGGGTTATTTAGTTATTTATTTATTTATTTTGAGACAGAGTCTTACTCTGTTGCCCAGGCTGGAGTGCAGTGGTACGATCTCGGCTCACTGCAACCTCCACCTCCCGGGTTCAAGTGATTCTCCTGCCTCAGCCTCCCAAGTAGCAGGGACTACAGGCACCCACCACCATTTGGCTAAATTTTGTATTACTGGTAGAGATGGGGTTTCGCCATAATGGCCAGGCTGGTCTCGAACTCCTGACCTAAAGTGATTCACCCGCCTCAGCCTCCCAAAGTGCTGGGATTACAGGCGTGAGCCACCATGCCCGGCCAAGACTGGGTAATTTATAAAGAAAAGAAAAAGGTTTAATCGGTTTGTTTCTGCAGGCTGTACAAACAGCATAGCACCAGCATCTGCTCCTGTGGAGGACTCGGGAAGCTCCCAATCATGGCAGCAGGAGAAGGAGCCATCACACGGTGAGAGTGGGAACAAGGGAGAGATGGCAGGGGGCAGGGGGGTGTAGGGGAGATGCCATACTCTTTTAAACAACCAGATCTCCTGTGAGATACCTGAGCAAAAACTCATTCATCACCAAGGAGATGGTGTTAAGCCATTCGTGAGAGATCTGTCCCCACGATCTGATCACCTCCCACCAGGCCCCACCCCCAACACTAGGGATCACATTTCAACATGAGGTTTGCAGGGACACAGATCCAAACCCCATCAGGAAGCTGCCTGACTTGCATGCTAAAAAGATCATTTATTTTTTTAATATGAACATGGATGTCAGATAAGCATAGGGCTATAAGATAAACTGACTGCGGGACCACAGGGTGGATGTGAATGAAATGAGGATAGGACTCCTCCATGTATATCTTTCAATATCATTTTAATTTTTGAAACTTTAAATGTATTTGTGTTCTTGTCAGCTCAGGCTGCTATAACAAAATACCAGAGGCTCGGTGGCTTAAGCAACAGAAATTTGTTCCTTAACACCTCTGAAGGCTAGAAGCCTGAGATCAAGGTTCTGCTGATTTGGCTCCTGGTGAGGGCTCTCTTACTGGCCTGCGGACAGGTGCCTTCTCGTGTGCTTTCACAGGGGAGACAGACAGAAAGCTTTCTGGTGTCTCTCCTTATAAGGGTGCTAATCTCATCACGGGGCTCTACCCTCATGACCTTACCTAAATCTAATCACCCCAAAGGCCCTCATCTCCAAAAACCCCACACTGGAGTTAGGGCATCAACATGTAAATCTTGGGGAGACACAAACATTCAGCCCATAACTATTAGGGATTGAACAAATACATAAATATGAGGATCCCCTGGCTGCTGTGGGGCAAGCAGGCTGTGGGTCCCCGACAGAGGCATGGAGGTGGGTCGGGAGGTCCTGAGTGGCCCCACTGCAGGTGCTGTAGTGTGGACTAGGGGTGCTGTTGGGAGGAGATGATGAATAGCAGACTTGGGGTATCTTTTTGGGAGCAGAAGCAGCAGGATTTTCTGTGGGCTTGGGTACATGGAGTAGTCAGGATGACTCCTTCAAAGACCTCCAGATTTCTTTCTGGTGCCCTTATGAGAAGAGATGGAGGATTTCATAAGGAAGACTAGTCCTGCTTCCATTGCAACCCCTCCCATCGTTCATTACTATAATATTTAGGTGACTGTCCTTGAATCTTAAAAAAACTGGGGGGCAAGATTTCATGAAAGATACCAGGTCTTTTTCTTTAGTAAGCTTTCTTTTGCCTGAAGGGAAAATCTCATCAGATTCTCACTCATTTTTTAGATAATAGCATGTTAGACAAATCAATTAAATCCCTCAAACATCTATAAAACCCAATTCATTAATTCACTCCAAAACCTTACAAAAATAGAAGTATTCTTTCTTCATAAACACACATTCATTTCATGATGATTCGATTAAAATAAAATATTGTACATGTTAAGACATAAGTCAGATATTTGCATCTTAGAACAACTCAACTTCAGCTTTACAACATACACCTTTTGAAAACAGCACGTTTGTATACATTCACCAAGTGAATGAGACACAAAGAAAGTTTTGTAAGTAGTCTTCAAGACGTATTTTTTACAAAAATATATCCATATATAAACACACATACATGAGCATATACATGTGTACACATATGTATATGCAATGTAGATAGGAACACACGTGGGCTGGGCGTGGTGGCTTACGCCTGTAATCCCACCACTTTGGGAGGTCGAGGCGCGTGGATCACGAGGTCAGGAGATTGAGAGCAACCTGACTAACATGGTGAAACCCCGTCTCTACTAAAAATACAAAAAATTAGCCAGGTGTGGTGGCATGTGCCTGTAATCCCAGCTACTCGGGAGGCTAAGGCAGGAGAATGGCGTGAACCCGGGAGGCGGAGGTTGCAGTGAGCCAAGATGGCACCACTGCACTCCAGCCTGGGCAACAGAGCGAGACTCCACCTCAAAAAAAAAAAAAAAAGATATGTACACATGGGTACACACATACACACCATGTACTGGGCAAGCACACGGACTTTCACTAAAGAGATAACAGAAAATGGGCTACTTCGTATGCCTCATAGGCTATGCCTTGTGTAATTAAATTAGACTCCAGTGTGGATGGCAGCCCTGCGCCTCCACTCACTCTGAGCTGTGCAAGTGCACGGCTATCCTATAGCCTGTACGCCCAGCAGAAGTATCCCTGGTTATGCACGAAACTGAAAGATTTTGTCTGCAGCCTCTTAATTTTCCTCCCTGTCTCGTATCTGCCTGCTTCCAATCCACCGTGCATATTAATGACAGATTTATTTTCCTTTGACAATGGTCTCTGTTAGATAAAGCAGAAGGTACTTGATCAAAGAATAACCGCTACAGGAAAAGGCTACTCTGAATGAATTTTAAACCAGGTTCCAACATTTCAAAGTCAAAAATGAAAAGAAATTTTTAAAGCTTTGATTAAGACTTGGACAATGAAGCTAAAATTATTAAATTAGCTTGCTTCATAGCACTTCAGCAACATTAGCTTATAATTACAACCGCAGGCTAATTCTTAGGAAAAACACAAAGACTGCAGCCCAACTCCATATCGAATTAATATAATGAATACAGAGGAGAAAAATGTTAATCTGTGAAGTATAAACCTTTAAAATACAACACAACACTTGTAACACTCTTTGTCACTTCTTCGTCTGTCAGAATTCTGGGATCCTTGGAAATGGGAAGTGATCCTATCCTCTCTCCGTCTCTGGGAAGCCTAGAGGAAAAGTCACCAGGTGGAGCTTTAACTTCCGTTATTTATTTTATCAGAACTAAGTATAAAAATTTCTAAATAACCTTAGTGGAATGACCTTCAATATCACCACTAATAGATACTAAATTATTAAAATACATGAATCTGTTTCTGGATTTTGAAAATCTAAGCCAGGGACCCATTTTTCTTAATCTTTAAGTTAAAAATCAGCTAATTTTGGCCGGGCATGGTGGCTCACACCTGTAATCCCAGCACTTTGGGAGACCGAGGCAGGCGGATCATGAGGTCAGGAGATCGAGACCATCCTGGCTAACACGGTGAAACCCTGTCTCTACTAAAAAAAAAATTAGCCGGGTGTGGTGGCGGGTGCCTGTAGTCCCAGCTACTCGGGAGGCTGAGGCAGGAGAATGGTGCAAACCCGGGAGGCGAGCCGGGATCGCACCACTGCACTCCAGCCTGGGCAACAGAGCGAGACTCCGACTCAAAAAAAAAAAAAAAAGCTAATTTTAAGGTAAATGACCACAGATGGACAGTGGTTTCCATACTGGAAAAGACTGGAGAGCTTTCACCTGTAGCCTAACTTCACCCCACCTCCTTCTTACCCTGGGGCTTCACTATACTCTCACAGTCTTTCTGCTGCCTGCGTCCCTCCGTCTGCCTGTATTAGAATCTAAGTGATCTCCCCCCTCTGGTTTAATATTAGGACCCAGGATAGCACCTGACATGCATTAGCCTTTAACACACATCCACCAAACAGGAGTTTTTCTATCCCTGTATCAATGGCATGAAAGCATGTAGTTTTATAATTTGGAGAAACTGCTTTTTCTTCATTATGCCTATTCTATAACTAATTGTGGCTATTTTAAGCATCTGTTTTTCTAGAGGAATTTTAGAATTATTTTGTTATTTTTCTGAAAACCCTGCTAGAATTTTTTAAAATTATAGTAAGAACACTGAACTGCTAGCATTTGAATGAGTGTCATATTGCATTTATAGATTACTTTGTGGTGAGTCAATCACTTTTTGATAGTAGCTTTTTTTTTTTTTATCATTTCAGAATAGGAAATGCCAATACTGATGTCTTAATCCTTATCCCCTTTAGCAAAGTTGGGGAGTGCTTTTTTTCTACTGTTTTCAAAAAGTTTTTCTTGAGGTTATTCTTTGGTAGTTTAAATTTTTACACAAGGCAATTTTTATATACCATTGAGAGCTATTCAGAAAAAAAAAATGCTCCAAGTCCATGGGTCCTAAAATTTCTGGGTCACGAACCTATTTGAGAATAAGAGGGTTTACGATATTTATGAACTCTCTGTAATAATAAAGGTATGTATATATCTATCTGTGTTTGCATATACACTCATGTGCACAAATGTGTGTTTGTGTGTCATATTTTGTCAGAGTTTCATGGATTCCAAGCCTATTTATCTACCACACTTAGGTAAATCTGCTGCAATACTTTTTAAGGAGAGAGACTGGGACACATACAAAGAGAGAAGTTCTCTCTGTTTTTGTTTTTGTTTTTGTTTTTCATTTTTTGTTTTTTTGAGATGGAGTCTTGCTCTTTCGCCCAGGCTGGAGTGCAATGGTGTGATCTCGGCTCACTGCAACCTCTGCCTCCAGGGTTCCAGCGATTCTTTTGCCTCAGCCCCCCAAGTAGCTGGGATTACACGCACCCACCACCATGCCTGGCTAATTTTTGTATTTTCAGTAGACACGGGGTTTCACCATGTTGGCCAGGCTGGGCTTGAACTCCTGACCTCAGGTGATCCACCTGCCTCAGCCTCCCAAAGTGCTGGGATTACAGGCATGAGCCACCGCACCCGGCCAGAGAAATTCTCTTTTATTTGAAGTGTTCATTACATAGGTCTGTCTGTATTCCAGCCTACTCAGGTCTCTCCTGGGACAAAAGAAAGGCATAAAGCTAAGGTAAAAATCTGTGTGTCGGACACTCACACAACACTACATTCCCTTATACACACACACACATGCACGCACGCGCCTAGAAGAGGACAAGCCTCTGACGCACTTCTGGAGAAAATGTTCAAAGAATGTGTAAAAACTTTCTACGTTTTTTAATCATTTCCGCTCTAGCAGCTAAACACACCATGTGAGAGAAATTTTCATCCTGTGGGAGCTGAGAACCTGGTGGGTGAATCATTCGTGTAAATTATGAATTACCACTTTCAGCAATTTGAGAGGCTGATTTGTCACCAACATTATGAGATGCTCCTATATTGTTCAATTCCTATAAAATAAATAAAAGCATTTCTTTGCATATAGAGTGTGAAAACAAGAGGTACTTATAAACAGTAAAGAGTAAATACACATATTTGAACACAATATTACTTTGTATTGTTATGTTACCGAGCTTCCCCATTGCCTATTCCAGGGAGCGTAAATACCTCTGATCTGCATAATCTTGCATGAGGAAGCTGCATCATGCTTGCATGAGAAAGCTGTTCCATGTCTGCACACGTGCAGACATAGCAGAGACTCTGCTTGATGGGGACTATGAGTTAACGTAGACTTCTGAATCTTAGTATGTGTATGCCTAAGAACGTCACTTAAAGGTTCTAAATGCTTCATTAGAACATAGACCCTCCTCTAAAGAGAAACATGGATTCCTCTGCCTTGTTCCTTCTGGAGCACTGCTACCCAGTGGAACTTTGTCCCATGATGGGTGTGTCCCAAGTGTGCCCATCCACTATGGCAGCCATGAGTTCCATGTGGATCCTGAGCACTTGAGAGGTGGCCAGAGCCACCGAGGATCTGAGCTTTTCATTCTAGTTAATTCTAACTTAAATGACCACAGAGGGACAGGGGTTTCCACACAGGAAAACACAGTACAGAGTTTACCGGCATGCAACATTAGTGTATTCGTCCATTCTCACACTGATGATAAAGACATACTCGAGACTGGGTAATTTAAAAAGAAAAAAAGGTTTTGTTTGTTTGTTTGTTTGTTTGTTTTCAGATGGAGTCTCACTCTGTCTCTCAGGCTGGAGTGCAGTGGCACGATCTCAGCTCACTGCAATCTTTGCCACCCGGGTTCAAGTGATTCTCCTGCCTCAGCCTCCCAAATAGCTGGGATTACAGGTGCGCACCACCAAACCCAGCTAATTTTTGTATTTTTAGTACAGATGGGGTTTCTCCATGTTGGCCAGGCTGCTCTCAATCTCCTGACCTCATGATCCACCCGCCTCAGCCTCCCAAAGTGCTGGGATTACAGGCGTGAGCCACCACCGTGCCTGGCCTTCTCAATGAACTTCTAATGTACTTGTCTGACTCCAGAAAAAAAATTTGATGTTAATTTTATTGGAAGTGAATTGAATTTATATATTTTTTTAACTTTTAAGTTCAGGAGTACATGTGCATACATTACATGTGCATACTTTACATATATAAACTTGTCTCATGGGGTTTGTGGTAACTTAAGAATTGACACCTTCATGATATTAAGACTTCTAATTCAAGGACATGAATATCATCTCATTTCTAGCAGTTTTGTTGGACATTTAAGGGTATTTTATTAGTTTCTTATATTTAGGTTTTCAATTTTTTTAAGTTTATGATGAAGAACTTCATTTTAAATTTTTTTATCATTTTAAGTGGGGTCTTGTTAACTGTTTTGTTGTTGTTTATAAATATGAATGCTGATAATTTCATGCTTATCTTTATCAACTCATTATTTTATTAATTTTTCTGTCTGCTTTTTAATGTTTCCCATTGATTCCTGGCAATTTTCCAGGTACATAATTATGTCACCTGTAAGAGAGATAGCTTTACATTTCCCTTACCCATTCTTATGCCTATAATTGCTTTTAATTATCTGATTGATGAATTCGTTATCACCAACACAGTGTTAAATGATGGTGGAGAGAGCAGATATCTTTGTTATGTTCCTGACTTTAGTAAACTACTCTGCTTTAGTTAGTTATCGGTTTAGCTTTGTTTGGTTTGGGCTTGTTTTGTTTTGTTTTGAGACAGGATCTCCCTCTGTTGCCCAGGCTGGAGTGCAGTGGTGTGATCTTGACTCACTGCAACCTCCACCTTCCAGGTTCAAGGGATCTTCCTGCCTCAGTCTTCCAAGTAGCTGGGACCATGCCCAGCTAATTTTTAATTTTTTTTTATAGAGACGGGGTCTTGCTATGTTGCTCAGGCTGGTCTTGAACTCTTGGACTCAAGCAATCCTCCCACCTCCGCCTCCCAAAGTATTGGGATTACAGGTGTAAGCCCCCATGCCCAGCCTAATTATTGCTATTTTAAACAGCAGATTTCAGCTAGAGTTGATATTTCTGAGCCATAACCTTCTCTGAGGCTCTGAGGGGACAAAACATCTCTCAGCTCTTGTCTCCCCTCATTCTGTGACATCATCATCTCGCTTTCATCGGCAGTCCGTCTTCCACAAATATTTCGAGATCACTTCTTCCCTAATGTTCTCACTCCCATTGTTTTCATCGTGTTATCTTCATTGCTTTCTTCCTTTCTTTCCTATATTGCATATGGTACCTTGGCCGGGTAAGATGTGAATAGGGTTGTTTAATCCTCCTCCTTCAACTAGAATTACCAAATGAAATTTTGACTGTAATGCAATACTCTAATAATCCACATTTTTTATTTTTTTGAAAATTACTCTGTTACCAGTAATCTACATTAGAATGTTAGAACAATTAGCCAAGATATCAGAAAATCCTATTTCAAAGCCACTTTAAAAAAATACAAAATATTTCTCTGTCATTCAAATTTATTTAAAAAAAAAACACCCATTGCTTGTGCAGAGTCCAGATTCCTAACCTGAAGACAATATGACGGGATATGATGGGGTTGTCTCCTGAAGCATGAACAGCTTAAATAAATTGATTTGTTTATTCAGGAACCTTCTGTAGAAGGCATCGCTAGCTGTCTATGCAAAATCCATTTTCTTATTTTCCCCTTACTAAATGAACATTAATTTTGTTTGGGTTGGCAATGAACCTAGCCTTAAGAAAAGCAAACAACAAGTGCCCTCTTTATGATGGGGGGTGGGTGTGGCTTTGCCTAATATTTTAAAATTCAGAAGTCTACTGGGAATTTTGAAAACATTTTGCTTTCCTGCTATAAGTGCCACCCCTCCTCCTCATTCTTCCTACAGAGAAGGAAGAAGAGGGAGAGATCTTAAAACCATGAGGGGCCGGGTGCGGTGGCTCACACCTGTAATCTCAGCACTTCAGGAGGCCAAGGTGGGCAGATCACTTGATCAGGAGTTTGAGACCAGTCTGGTCAACATGGTGAAACCCCATCTCTACTAAAATACAAAATTAGCTGGGTGTGGTGGTGGGCACCTATAATCCCAGCTACTCAGGAGGCTGAGGCAGGAGAATCACTTGAACCCTGGAGGCAGAGGTTGCAGTGAGCCAAGATCATGTGATTGCACTCCAGCCTGGGAAACAAGAACAAAACTCCATCTCAACAGCAACAACAACAACACATGAGGAAGAAAGCCACACTTTTAGGATGGAAGAATGGAAAGGCAGAGCCAACCTCCAATGACATTGAGGAACTCATGTGCCCGTTCTGAGCAGTCCTCACCTGGACTCATTTCCATGAGAAAAATAATCTCTTACGATAGACCACAGTAGTCCAGTTTCTGCCACTGAGAGTCAAATAGTATATAATTAACACATTCTCTAGTAATTATTCAATATTCAATAGTTTGAGATTTAACATTTCTAAGGAACATAAGTGATATGGTCTGGCTGTGTCCCCACCCAAATCTCACCTTGAATTGTAACTCCCATAATTTCCTCATGTTGTGGGAGGGGCCTGGTGGGAGATAATTGAATCATGGAGGCAGTTTCCCCCATACTATTCTTGTGGTAGTGAATAAGTCTCACAAGATCTGATAGTTTTATAAGGGGAAACCCTTTTCACTTGGCTCTCATTTTCTCTCTTGCCTGCCACCACGTAAGACATGCCTTTTGCCTTCTGCTATGATTGTGAGACCTCCCCAGCCATGTGGAACAGTGAATCCATTAAATCTATTTTTCTTTATAAATTACACAGACTTGGGTATGTCTTTGTCAGCAGTATGAAAACAGACTAATATAATAAGTGACGTCATTTCCAACAATTTGGGCATAAAATGGATTTGGGGGATGGTGTGATTTTCTCACCCTAGAGAAATATAGTTGATATTGGAGAGAATTAGATACATCCTTTTCTTTTTTTGGCAAGCACCTTCCTAGTAACATTAGTCTTTTGAAAATGATAACACATTTCCTAAGGTTTTGAGTTCCACAAATATTTACTGTGTGCCAGGTACTTTGCAAAATGAGTAAGAAACTCTTACCTTGATCTTGGGGAGCTTACACTCAATTCTAGGGGACAATCAAACCATATGGTAAATTTTATAATAGAGGTTTGCACAGTGCACTATTGAAATATCCAGAAATAAGTAATATTCCTTTCATGAAAAGTCATACAAAATATTAGAAACATCTTAGCTGGGCATGAACGAACAATACCTCATACTCAGTGTGTGCTCACACAATTAAATGAAATTAAAATATTTGACCCTACTTCCAGCCAGAACACAACCGACACAAATCTATGAGTGCAAGGGCACTGTGGTGCTTTCTTATGCAGAAACAAAATCAGGTCACCAAAATTAAACTTCTTTGCCTTGCTAACTTCAACTCAGTTACCATGTGAGCACCCTGCTGAATCTCTCCGCATAAAGTGGGCGGCTGTGTTATTCTTTCTCTCAACACCATACGCTTTTTTCTTCTTAGCACTTATTGGCAATTTTAAATTATACATTTGTTTTTGTGATCATTACCCTAATTAAATTGAAACCTTTATGAGAGAGAGAATGAATCTTCCGGCTCATTATGGTTTCCTAGCAGCAAACACATAAGATGCATTCAATAACTATACGGTGGACAAAATGAATTAATTTCAAAGTTGTGAATATGTGATAGTCATTTTTTAACTTATTCAGAAGTCACTCCTTCCTTTGCAACTAGAAGGTCTTGTTTGACACAGAGGCCATTTCCCCCAGCTTTACTAAAGAATGATTGACAAATAAAAATTGTATATATTTGGGTTGGCAATGAACCTAGCCTTAAGAAAAACCAACAAGTGCCCTCCTTATGATGGGGGGATGCAGCATGATGTGCTGATAGACACATATGTTGTGAAATGATGACCACAATCAGGATAACTGACATATTCATCACTTCACCTAGTTACCATTTTTCTTTTGGTCTGGTAAGAACACTTGAGATGTCCTCTCTTAGCATATTTTAATTTTACAATACATGACTATTAACTATCGTTACCATGCCACACATTACATCTCCAGAACTTACTCATTTTACAACCGAAAATTTGCTGGACACTTTGACGAGCATCTCCTTGTATCTGTTCCCCCACCCCACCGCCCAGTCTCTGGTCACCACCATTCTACTATTCTACTCTCTGTTTCTGTGAATTCAACTCTTTTAGATTCCACATATAGGTGAGATCATGCCGTATCTGTCTTTCTGTGCCTGGCTTATTTCCCTTAGCACAATGTGCTCTAGGTTCATCCATGCTGTCACAAATGACATTTCATTCTCACTTCATGCTGAATAAAATTCCATCACATGTGCACACTCCATTCCTTTATGCATCATCCACTGATGGGCACCTAAGTTGTTTCCGTATCTTGACTATGGTGAATTATGCTGTGATGAACAATGAGTGTGGGAGTGGAGGTGTCCCTTCAGCATGCTGATTTTATCTCCTTTGGAAGTCCACCCAGAAGTCAAATTGTTGGATCGTATGGTTGTTCTAGTTTTAATTTTGGAGGTAACCTACCTACCATTTTCTGTAATGCCTGTACCAATTTATATTCCCAGCACCAGTGTACAAGGCTTCCCTTTCCCCACATCGTCACCAACACTTGTTTCCTCTGTCTTTTTGGTAACGGCCATTCTAACAGGTATGTGAGGGGCTATCTCATAGTAGATTGGTATACGGGCCATTTTTGATAGAAAAATTGTCCAGGCCGAAAAGAAGTTCTGTTCCTACCATTTGAAAAATACATAAGAAACACAAGTGAGCGGACATAGATATCTAATATTTTCTGCCAGAGATGAGATTTGCTTCTCAAACCACATCTGACCCACAGGAACTGTGACTCACAAGATGCCTGCTGTGATCAGGCCAAAGTGGAAGTGCTTTTCTTTCTCAGCAGAGTCTACCTGTGCACATCCCATCTGCTCAGGTCAGGGCTTAGGTGGTGCCACAGAAACACCTCCTCTGCAATGATGTTGTCTATCTCGGTTTCCAGTCAGGCCACAAAGCTCACTGAGGATGGCAGGGAGGGCAAACAATGCCCATCCTTAAGGACCATCCACACAGGGAAATGCATTGATCAGACTGGCATGGTGGCTGACACCAGCACCCAACCCTCCCTTTCCTTTTCAACCAGAGCCTGGTTCTCCTTTGGGGAGTTCAGATCTTTGCTCTTCTCTGTTAATCATTGGCCATTCTCAGCTTAGAGACACATTCTGCTCGGCTTAACACTGCTATTCTTCCCCCTTCTGTACTGAGGTGCATGGTGTCTTCCAAATAGTCATGCCTACTCAGGACCTGAGAATGAGGCCTTATTTGAAAATAGGGCCTTGTGAAATTTAAAGTACATTTTTCTAATTCTGTGGAGAAAGTCAATGGTAGCTTGATGGGAATAGCATTGAATCTATAAATTACTTTGGGCAGTATGGCCATTTTCACAATACTGATTCTTCCTATCCATGAGCATGGAATGTTTTTCCATTTGTTTGTGTCCTTTCTTATTTCCTTGAGCAGTGGTTTGTAGTTCTCCTTGAAGAGGTCCTTCATGTCCCCTGTAAGTTGTATTCCTAGGTATTTAATTCTCTTTGTAGCAATTGTGAATGGGAGTTCACTCATGATTTGGCTCTCTGTCTATTATTGGTATATAGGAATGCTTGTGATTTTTGCACATGGATTTTGTATCCTGAGAATTTGCTGAAGTTGCTCATCAGCTTAAGGAGTTTTTGGGCTGAAATGATGGGGTTTTCTAAACATACAATCATGTCATCTGCAAACAGAGACAATTTGACCTCCTCTCTTTCTATTTGAATACGCTTTATTTCTTTCTTTTGCCTGACTGCCCTGGCCAGCACTTCCAATACTATGTTGAGTAGAAGTAGTTAGAGAGGGCATCCTTGTCTTGTGCCGGTTTTCAAAGGGAATGCCTCCAGTTTTTGCCCATTCAATATGTTATTGGCTATGGGTTTTTCATAAGTATTTTGAGATATGTTCCATCAATATCTAGTTTAATGAGTATTTTTAGCATGAAGGGATGTTGAATTTTATTGAAGGCCTTTTCTGCATCTATTGAGATAAACATGTGGTTTTTGTCATTGGTTCTGTTTATGTGATGGATTATGTTTACTGATTTGTGTATATTGAACCAGCCTTGCATCCCAGGGGTGAAGCCAACTTGGTCATGGTGGATAAGCTGTTTGATGTGCTGCTGGATTCAGTTTGCCAGTATTTTATTGAGGATTTTCACATTGATGATTATCAGGAATATTGGCCTGAAATTTTCTTTTTTGTTGTTGGTGTGTCTCTGCCAGGTTTTGGTATCAGAATGATGCTGGCTTCATAAAATGAGTTAAGGAGGAGTCCCTCTTTTTCTATTGTTTGGAATCATTTCAGAAGGAATGGTACCAGTTCCTCTTTGTACCTCTGGTAGAATTCGGCTGTGAATCCATCTGGTCCTGGGCTTTTTTTGTTGGTAGGCTATTAATTACTGCCTCAATTTCAGAAGAGCCCCTATAGCCAAGACAATCCTATGCAAAAAGAACAAAGCTGGAGGCATCATACTACCTGACTTCAAGCTATACTACAAGGCTGCAGTAACCAAAACAGGATGATACTGGTACCAAAACAGATACGTAGACCAATGGAACAGAACAGAGGCCTCAGAAATAACACCACACATCTACAACCATCTGATCTTTGACAAATCTGACAAAAACAAGCAATGGGGGAAAGGATTCCCTATTTAATAAATGGTTCTGGGAAAACTGGCTAGCCATATGCAGAAAACTAACACTGTACCCCTTCCTTACACCTTATACAAAAATTAATTCAAGATGGATTAAAGACTTAAACATAAGACCTAAAACCATAAAAACCCTAGAAGAAAACCTAGGCAATACCATTCAGGACATAGGCATGGGCAAAGACTTAACTACTAAAACACCAAAAGCAATGGCAAAAAAGTGCCAAAATTGACAAATGGGATCCAATCAAACTAAAGAGCTTCTGCACAGCAAAAGAAACTATCATCAGAGTGAACAGGCAACCTACAGAATGGGAGAAAATTTTTGCAATCTATCCATCTGACAAAGGGCTAATATCCAGAATCTACAAGGAACCTAAACAAATTTACAAGAAAAAAACAAACCCCATCAAACAATAGGCAAAGGATATGAACAGACACTTCTCAAAAGAAGACGTTTATGTGGCCAAGAAACATATGAAAAAAAGCTCATCGTCACTGGTCATTAGAGAAATGCAAATCAAAACCACAATGAGCTACCATCTCATGCCAGTTAGAAAGGCGATCATTAAAAGTCAAGAAACAACAGATGCTGGAGAGGATGTGGAGAAATAGGAACACTTTTACACTGTTGGTGGAACTGTAAATTAGTTGTTGAACTAATGGTTGCATTGTGGAAGACAGTGTGGTGATTCCTTAAGGATCTAGAACCAGAGATACCATTTGACTTGGCAATCCCATTACTGGGTATACACCCAAAGGATGATAAATCATTCTACTATAAAGACACATACACGTGTATGTTAATTGCAGCACCATTTACAATAGCAAAGACTTGGAACCAACCCAAATGCCCGTCAATGATAGACTGGATAAAAAAAAGTGACACATATACACCATGGAATACTATGCAGCCATAAAAAAGGATGAGTTCATGTCCTTTGCAGAGACATGGATGAAGCTGGAAACCATCACCCTCAGCAAACTAACACAGGAACAGAAAACCAAACACCACACGTTCTCACTCATAAGCGGGAGTTGAACAATGAGAACACATGGACACAGGGAGGGGAACATCACACACCGGGGCCTGTTGGTGGGTGGGGGACAAGGGGAGGGAGAGCATTAGGAGAAATACCTAATGCATGTGGGGCTTAAAACCTAGGTGATGGGTTGATGGGTGCAGCAAACCACCATGGCACATGTATACCTATGTAACAAACCTGCACATTCTGCACATGTATCCCAGAACTTAAAGTATAATAATAATAATTAATAATAATAAAAGAAAAGTGGGGCCTCTACAGTTGTAATTAGCTAAGTTAAGATGAGGCCATGCTGTATACGGGTGGGTTCCAAATCAACAGTCAGTGTTCCTATACGAAGGCCAGGTAAAGATGCAGAGATACAGATAGAGACACAGGGCAGAGGGCAATGTGATAGCAGAGTCATGCCGAGTGACAATCAAGTGAAGCAACGACAGCCAGCACAGGCCAAGGGCTGCCCCACCGCAGCCTGAGGATGCAGGGAAGGAACCTCCCAAGAGCCTTCCACGGGAGCAGGGCCCCGCTGACACCTTGATTTCAGACTTCTAGTTTTCAGAACAGTGAGACACTAAACTTCTGTTGCCTTTTCCCACCCAGTTTGTGGGACTTCGTTATGTAAAAAATGGGTGGAGAAAACTAATACACCCTATTTCTTCTATTTCCTTGAGAGTCCCCAACTCCAAGCTACACCTTCAAGTTTGGGTGGGACTCAGGCTGTCTCCATGTTCTTGGGGGTGGGGTCACCGAACCTCTGCCTGGCCAATCAGTAATGACTGTGATGGGTTCAGAAACGGGAATGTGACCAGTTTCAGCCAGCAAGAGTAAATCCTAGCAATTCCATGGGACCTCCTGCAAGAGGCTCTTTTCCCTGCGTATTAGGGGATGAAGATGAGCGTGCAGGAACAGCAGCAAATATTTTGCCACCATGAGGGAGACAGGTACTAGGAGGGGCACTGTGCACAGTGTAAGGATGAAAACTTTAGCAGAAGGAGGATGGTAAGGGACAGAAGGAGAGAGAGAGAGAGACTGTTCCTGATAACATCCTTTAAAATATTCATTAAAGTTTTGCTGGAAACCAGAAATACCACTTAACTTCTCAGTTGCATAAGCTAATAATATAATTCTTTATGGCTAATCTGCCTCCGGTTGCATTTTCTGCTACTTACAATGAAGAGAATACTAAATATAATGTCTTTTGAATAAGTCTATATTGTGATGTCTTTACTGCATCTATAATTGAATCCTGCCCCATTGGAAGCAGTTGTCTGCTATATGAATATAAAATGCCAAGTCTATGGCCTTTTGTTTTAGATGTGGCAAGTTATGTTTAGAGATTTCATATAATTGTGTCTCAACTGATTTTAAGGTAAACTAATTTATGTGGGAGGGGGTGGGTCACTTGAGGCTAATTTATTTTCTAGGGAAGTTTTTAAAATATTCCCAGTTGACCATAGGTCATCATCTGCCCAAAATGAACTCAGAAAATTAACATTATTGTAAATATACATTTAAGGCACATTGGGTGAATCAGTTTCATCTTAAAAGGCCACACTTGGAGCTTGGTACTGAGGTCCCAGAGGGCTGTGTTGAGGAGGACCTGAGCCCACACCAGCTCAGAGGAAAGGTGTGCTGTGGGCAGTTGCTGGTGTCTGCGATAGCATCAGCAGGAAGAATGCTCCCACCGATGGTGTCCCGGCTATAGAAAACACACAGCCAAGACACTGTACCGTGTTTCATATTCTCTAAGTATCCCAAACAACATTATGAAGTTAATTTCAAATTATTGCACGTTCTCTGTTTTTTTTTTTTTTTTTTTTTTTTGCAGTATCTGGGCCACTGCCATTTGTAAGGATAACTGTCAATCATCTTTCCTACAAAACCTGCTTCTGACAGGTTTACAAATGAGTGCTGTCCGGTCCCAAACCATCTCAAATACCGTGAAGCACAGTTTCCAGACAGAGTATCATCGAAGGCTGTCAAATAAATGAAGAAAACAGCAGGGGAAAAATTCTACCCAACAGGACAGCCGCAACAGGCAAAAGGAAAGCAATTTCTTGTGCTGGGTTGGTTGTGTGCTTCTCAAGAATCTGAAGTCCTGCAGGAAGTTACAAAGGCAAATAATTAACCCCACTGCCAAGGATGTGTGGAGCCCAACCAACGCTCAGCAAGCTGGCAAGCGATAAAGACCCCTGGTGAACACCTTCATTTTTTGCTTCACTCTGAAATCTGTCTCCAACTAAAATCACACAAAGTTAACTGCAACCTCTAATACCTTTTGACATTGAACACTTCGTGGGAATGTATTTGCTGGTGAGACAACCCAGGAATGTTTTTGTGTTTCCAATACAATTGTTAGGTATGGAGTTTGATGTGGGTTTTTTATATAATCTCTAACTGGCTAATTCCCCTCTACTTTTATTTATCTAACAGTCCGAGCTGTTGGTAGATCTACCTTTTTTTTTTTTTTTTTGAGACAGAGTCTCGCTCTGTTACCCAGGCTGGAGTGCAGTGGCGCAATCTCAGCTCATTGCAACCTCTGCCTCCCGGGTTCAAGAGATTCTCCTGCCTCAGCCTCCTGAGTAGCTGGGATTACAAGCTCCCGCCATCACACCCAGCGAATTTTCATATTTTTTGGTAGAGATGGGGTTTCACCATGTTGTTCGGGCTGGTCTCGAACTCCCGGCCTCAAATGATCCGCCTGCCTCAGCCTCCCAAAGTGCTGGGATTACAGGCGTGAGCCACCATGCCTGGCCTAGTGGATCTATTTTTAAAGTGAGGAGATCATAGTATGTATCACAAGACAATTGTATTCAGCATCCATTAAAATAACCAAAGGTTTCTTCATTTACTTCACAAATCAGCTACACTAATCCAGTGGTTCTCATGTGAGGGAGATTTTTGCTCTCCCTAGAGACATGTCTGGATACATTTGTGCTTGTCGCACCCCATGGGGGAGCATGCTATGACATTGCTTGGGTGGAGACCAGAGATGCTCCTAAACATGTTTCAGTTTCCAGAACAACTATCCTCCCAACCCTTAGAAACAAGAACTACCTATTTCAAAAGGTCCACAGTGCTGAGATTAAGAAACCTGAATCAATAGATTTTCTACTAGCAGCCCTGATGTCCTAATGTTGACTTCCTAATGGGCTACATTCTAAAATAAACTTTACTTGGCTATATTTTTGATACACTGCTGGATTTGTTTGTTAATGTTTTATGTATGGCTTTTGTACCCGTGTTTATAAATGACATAGCAAACATTTTTCTTCATTTTTGAATGATTGCCAAGTTTTGTCATCATGGTAAAGATAGACTCATACAGGAATGGAAAATCTTTCCTCATCTCAAATTTATTTAAAGCAAGTTTTAATTAGCATGCAATAAAATTCAGTCTGAGTTGTGGCAAATGCACAGGTGTGTGTCTACCAAAGTGAAGGTACAGAACAATGCCATCGTTCCCCCAGATTCTTTCCTTCTCCTGTGCCTTCGCGGTCAAATCCTTCCCCATCTTCCCTTTTTAAAACTATAGTTTCAATTATAAAATTCACTCATGCTCATTGCAATTAAACCATACAGCAATGTTAAAAAAAAAAAAAAAGCTTTTCTACTTTTCTTCTCATCTCCTACTGACACTAATGTTAATATTTAAGGGAACGTTTACATATTTGGGTTTGACGAAACATTCTAAGCAAGAGACAAAAAAAGAATATCTATACAATTTTTTAAATTTTATTGGCGAAAATCACCATAAACAAAACAGAAAGAGGGGTATATTATTGCTGTATCAATGTCACAAATATTGCTTCTCACATAATAAGAAGAGAACACCTCCAAAGTGATAAAGATAAACAACTTGATAGAACAAAAAATTAGCAGAGGATGTCAATGGGCAAGTCACAGAGGAGGAGTTGCTAAAGGCCAGTAAACATCTGAAGAATGCTCTTTCTCATCAGTGGTCAAATAAATGCAAAATAAAACCACAAAGATAACAGTTCCCTCATCAGATTAGCAAGAATTAGATTAACATCTAGGTCTGAAAAGGTTGCAAATAAATTAGTGTCTTGCCAACAATGTCAGGCAAATAAATTGCATTAACTTTCTGGAAATTAATCTCGCCATGTCTATCGAAGTCAACAATTTACATATTCTTTGAGCCATAAATCTCACTTGTGAATTTATCTACACAAAGAAAATCACCAGTAAGTAAGGATAAGTGCAGAATTATTTATACTGATAAAAATATCAGGAAAAGACTACTGTCAACAGGTAAATGATTGAATACATTATGATAAAATGATTCTGTTTATTATGCAGGTATTTCAAAGAGAAAGAATTCAATCTTTCTCTATACATACATATATGTGTATATATATATATATGTATACATATACGTATTATGTATACATACATACATGCAGAATAAAACCAAGGAAAACTAGAATCAACGAAGGAAAGTAAGCCACAGTGGAACAACATGGCTGTCTACAACCAGTGACAACTGTGTCTTCACTGCCTCATCAGAGAAAGCACATATACATGTATATACATATATATATATGTACATCTTTATATAAATATAGATATTTCTATATATTTACCTGGAAGAGTACACAGAACAATTTCTAAATTAAAAAAATAAATCTCAATTCATATGCACACACATACACACATATACAAACCCTCATTTAGAGTCACATGTCTGACATTTTAAGTCTGAAATCTATCACGTGATGATTTCCTTTGTTTTCCTTTTCCTACACATAAACAGGAAACAGTGCTCTGCAAACTAGAATAAAACTAAGGAAAATCAGCCAAGGTGGAATAACTTGGCTGAGTGCCTATAGCCGCTGATAACTGTGCCTGCACTGCCTTGTCAGAGGAAGCCACTCTCTTCTGCAACATCCGGCAACACGCTCACTGGGGATCTGGTTCTTCTAGGGTTGGGTTAGCAAATGGATTTCAAGAGCCAAATCTGGATGATTTGTAGGGGATGTAGGGGTTGTAGGGCTCTATGGAAAAGGACACCATGATTAATTATCAATGTCTTCCACAGGAGGGGAAGGGGACTGGTGAATGAGAGTCTGTGTCACTCACCTAGCCCAAGATGCTGTTCAGGTAGGCATTCTATGACGGGAAAGGGAAGCGCTTGTACTCATGAGTAGAAGAGCTAGTATGCTAATACGGACAGACCCTTAGAAAATGCCTTCCTCAACACGAACTTTCAATATTATTTATGGTAATACCCATTGACTCGGACTAGAAATATGTCACAGCTTTTGACAAGGAAAGCTACCACCCACTGCTTCCTAATTTTTAAAAAGCAATGTTTTCCAATCAGAGCAATTTAGAGCATGAAATAAATTTCATTAATGACAAAGAAATTATAAATCTTAAATTCCTTCAGTTCGTAACAGCCTCATAGGTTAGGCTGCCCAGGTAGCTTTGGCTGAGAAAATATTTGACATTTTTAGAAAATGACATAAAAATTTTCCAGCCTTTTGTTACCCGTTCAGCAAAGAAGCCTTTATTGTCTTCTATAAGTACTACATTTTTTGATACTAACGACAGTTGACTATTATTAACATATATCATTATAACTATAATTCATACTAATAATTCTAATGAAATGTAGGAGCATCTCTCTGTATGGATGATTTACTTTCAAAGAAGCGATCTGTAAATTTTTTTGTAAAAAAAAAAAAAAATCTATGACAAATATCGCATGAGCGGGAAGCATAGTTTTTAAACACTGTTTCTCAATAAAGTATTAGTTTCTCCTTAGTTCACACCAAGAATGTAGGTGGTCACATTCTCTAGTCACGCACTCAAAAGTTTTCCCATACATCCTCTTTTCCTTCTCCATGATTTTTGCTTAGGAAGGCATTTTCCACCCATTGGATGATACTCTCTACCTTGCAGGATGCTTTCTGTTTTCAAAGACATCTCGGGAGGCCGAGACGGGCAGATCATGAGGTCAGGAGATTGAGACCATCCTGGCCAACATGGTGAAACCCCGTCTCTACTCTCTATTAAAAATACAAAAAAATTAGCCGGGCGTGGTGGTGGGCACCTGTAGTCCCAGCTACTCGGGAGGCTGAGGCAGGAGAATGGCGTGAACCCGGGAGGCGGAGCTTGCAGTGAGCTGAGATCACGCCACTACACTCCAGCCTGGGTGACAGAGCGAGACTCCATCTCAAAAAAAAAAAAAAAAAAAAAAAAAGACATCTCAACACACATAATGAACTCCTCACTTTGAATCTGTTTGAGGATTATAAAACAAGTGTATTGAGACATATTTAGAACATTATTTACTTATTTAAAGCGTATAAAAAGACTTTAAACTCGTCAACTTGTAAAACCATCATCCTAAGTGAATTTTAGGACGTTTTCATCACCCTAGAAAGATTCCTAATGCCAATTTACAGTCCATCCCGCTCCCCACCTGCAGCCTCAGGCAACCACTAATCAATCTACTTTCTGTCTCTATAGATGTGTCTGTTCTGGACATGCGGTCTCTGGTGTCTGCTTCTTTCCCTTAGGGTAATGAGTTTGAGGTCACCCATGTCAAAGGACGTATAAGTAATCCATTATTTTGTATTGCTGAATAGTATTCCATTTTATGGATATAACATACATCAGCTGAAAAATGTCTGTGTTCGTTCCAGTTTTCAGCTATTATGAATAATGGTGCTAAGGACGTTCATGCGCAGGTTTTTAGGTAGATCTGTAATTTCATCTGTTGTGCAGATATCTAGCACTTGAAACTGCTGGCCCATATGGGAAATTTTTGTATTTAATGTTTTAAGAAACTGAGGAAGCTTCCCAAAGTTGCTGCACTATTTTCCATTCCCACCAGCAACATACGTGGGCTCCTGTTTCCCCAGATGCTTGCACTTTTTTTTTTTTTCTAATCTCTGCTTTTGCTTCCATCATAGTAGAAACATTTACAGTCTTCCTGACTTTACGTTAATTGACATGACTGGCTTAATGTTCTTTGCAAAACATCTTGGAAACACAATAAACACGCATATGACTAATGAACAACCTGGCAGTCAAGAACAAAGTGGCCACACAACCCCCTAATACATCCTAAAATGCCTTCTGTTTCTGGAGTGGAATGTTGCTCCTATCTGACACAGCCAATCAATAGAGGTAACACTGGAACACTGATGTTGGGGAGAGGATGTGGTATTTGCAGCTGACATTTATTGAACATTTTCTAAGAGCAGGTTTCTACTGAGGTCATTACCTGCTTCATTGTGCGTAAACAATAAAGATCCATGTGAAGTAGTGATAATCGTCTCTAGTCTACAGACTTGGAGACTAATGTTTGGAAAAGTTGAGTCGACTTCCCAACGCCACATAGGCAATGGAGCAACGAGCCAACATGGAAAGAAAAGCTGTTTTATCACGAAAGCTTTGGCAGGACAATATGACAAATGGCAGATGCTTTGAGAATAGGATGTTGCTATGGGTAGTGCCCAGTATTTGCAGGACCCACAACACTGGCAGCAGAAAGATAACCACTTCTCCAGCCAGCTGCACTGAAGATCGCTATTTGTATTAGATGGAGATTGTGTTCAGCTGCCTGTAACTCAAATCAGAGGAAGAATTCATTTTTCTCGAAGGGTCTGCATGGCAGCTCCTTCTCTCTTCATGTCCTGCTGTCTTCCCTGCATGGTTTTCATCCCATGACTGCCTCATGGTTATGAGATGGCTACACCATCTCCCTCCCCCTGCCAATATTTAGGAAGGGAAATTATGAGGAAGAAAACAGCAGGAGAAAGGAGGTTCCCTAATCAGACAAGCAAAACCTCTCCAGAAACCGCTGGGGAACTGTTTCCTACGACCACACCTAGGAGCAAGGAGGCTCAGAAATAAATCAGTTTAAATGCCTATTATTCTCCTGCACACATTCAGGATTCTGTAAGTAAGAAGAAGGATAGCAGAGTTTGGGGAAAGCAATTGGCAGTGGTTGCCACACTGATGTCTCAGTCAGGTCATCTTCAGGCTCCAAAGGTCCTAGAACTATCTCAGGAATCTCCATCACTGTGCCAAGAGGCTGAGCACACTCCCTCTCCATCATGTCTCAGATGGTTAAGACATTGGAGCAAGCGCTTATTGAGCATAAGGTTCGAAATAATAATACCAACATTGGCAGCTGACACATGTGCTTACTCTAAGCCAAACTCTTTATATATATTAACTACATTTAAATCCCACAACAATCACAGGAGGGAAGGATTATTATCACCGTTTTTCAAAGAGGAAAACCGAGGCACAGAGAAGTAATTCCCCCAAAGTCACACAGCTAGGAGGTGGCAGAAGCGGGAGCTGTGGCACTGTGCATGCAGCACGCCTTCAAAGCGCATGTGTTACTCATTCTCACCCGTGGCCTCTCATAGGTGGAATGTGCAGGCTAGCTTAGAGATACACAGCTAGAGAGCTATAGGGCCTTGGGAAAGTCACTTTCCTTTACTAAAGCTTAATTTGCTCCTATAAGACAGGGGCAGTGGAGCCAACCTCAAAGGATGTTTGCAAGAAATAAATACGATCCCATATGGGAAGCACACATGCTGGATGATCCTTGTCTTGTCAGTGCTCAAATATACTCTTGTTTGCATGTTTACCATCTATATGTATGGATTTGAATCCTAGTTAGAGTTAAAACAAAACTATATGGATGGTAAAAGACAGGAAAACAAATAACATACGGGGTGAAGCCTCAGGTGGGGCATCATAATCACGCAGCATCATTCCTTCTCTTTTTCAGATGAAGTCCAATGCTAAGGACGCATCAAGAAAGGAAGCCTCCTTCTCACTCATAGGTGGAAACTGAACAATGAGAACACATGGACACAGGAAGGGGAACATCACACACCGGGGCCTGTTGTGGGGTCGGGGGAGGGGGCAGGGATAGCATTAGGAGATATACCTAATGTTAAATGACGAGTTGATGGGTGCAGCACACCAACTTGGCACATGTATACATATGTAACTAACCTGCACGTTGTGCACATGTACCCTAAAACTTAAAGTATAATAAAAATAAAGAAATAAATAAATAAAAGAAAGGAAGCCTCTGTGTTGAGACTGGTCCTAGTCATTCGGATGCACTATGCATCCCAGTTTTTGTTAGTAAAAGGTAAAACTAAAGTGCACTTTAAAAAATCACATTCCTGGAAGAAAGAAAATCTTGTAAATTTTCTAGAGGAGGAAAATTAAAAAAAAACAAAACCAAAATCAAAATCAAAACCAAACCCAAACAAAACAAAACCAGGTCTTAGGGTACCGCAATGCAATAGATATTAAAACTGATTTTACTTTAAGGGAAAATTTTACTTTAATTGCTGTATTAACAGATCTTTCAGGTATTAAGTCCCGCTGAGTTGATCCGAAACACCTTATCTTATCTTATCTCTCCTGCAGTTGCTCTGTGTTTTCAATCCTCTCTCGGATAAACAGAAATTTCTCCATGGGAAATTTACACTTCTATAAAAATTCATATATAATAATGAATGATTCCACCTACCCAATAAACAAAAACACAAAATCCATAAAGAGAAGAGAGGAAACAGGGACCACAAGCAAACAAAAACAAAAGAGAAAACCAGGAAGATGAAAGGTCAGAGGTGATGTCCTAGAAAATAAGAAATCTGTTCTTTCTTACAAATACGGAAACCCATTTTAAAATTGGATACTTTAAAAGTTATTGTTTAAATGGGATAATTCAGCATCCAGGTGTGCTTTACATAAAGATGTTACAGCACAACAGCATCTTTTTACTTTTATGAATATTCAGAAAAATCTGTTGTGTAAAACACCAACAACAGTAGTAACAACAAGAAACAAAAACCATCAAGGCTGGAGTGTGAAATTGAAAGGCTGAATGCCAAGGCACTGAAGGATTCCAATTTGCATTTTTCTATTTTGCAACTTTGTGTCTAATGTGACACATGTTAAAGAATTCTTAACCTGTGTTATTACTTGGAGGAGGAATTTCACCACTACGTATGCTGGAGAGATTTCAGAGACTTTGATTTTTTATTTATTTGTTTATTTGTAGCCCTGGGACAAAATTCTTATTTTCCTTAGCTGAGAAATATATTAGCAAGCATCAGCTCTCAATTTTACATATTCATGGTAGCTGATATAAAACGGTATTTGGCTTCCAGAGGCATTATGTGTTTTATGTAAATGTGTGTCTTGGGCATTTTCTCAAGGGAAAAGCTGTTTCATCACTTAGTCCTTACTCCCTAAGAAAGCACTTGATGAGAACCATGAATTAATATCACGACTGAGCGAGAGGGGACCAGGGAAAATTGCTTCAGCAATTGCTTGGAAGGCTCCCAGAATTTGGCCTGGGCATAGCTGCAGAAATCTTTGGAAACAGAAGACTCCGTGAAAGTAAATGAGGAAGTGTGAATTTTGCCACTTAGTTGCACTAAGCAGTTTATACTCACTGTAGTCCACAATCCTTCAAGTTACTCACAGTAGTCCAAAGTCCTTCAAGTTACTCACTGTAGTCCAAAGTCCTTCAAGTTACTCACTGTAGTCCAAAATCCTTCAAGTTACTCACTGTAGTCCAAAGTCCTTCAAGTTACTCACTGTAGTCCAAAATCCTTCAAGTTACTCACTGTAGTCCAAAGTCCTTCAAGTTCCTCACTGTAGTCCAAAGTCCTTCAAGTTGGCCTGACCAAGTAGTTGTGGATTCTGCTCTGCACTTGATGGGAAGAGCCTGGATTCAGAGTTAGACGAGCTGAATCTGTCAGTCAGGGGACAGCTGCCATTCACAGAAACCACTCTAGTAGTGTAAGCAGAAAGGGATTTAATAGAGGAAATTGCTTTATAGTTTTTTGTTTGTTTGTTTGTTTGTTTGTCATTGGTGTTGAAGAAACAGGCTATGGGATTTAGGGATGACTTCTAGAAAAACCCCAAAGAAGAGGCCCCCCCAGGGAGCTGGTGCCTTGGCTTCCACAAGGAAACAGGAAAACTGGGAAACCTTTCTCACCTCAGCCTCCCAAGTAGCTGAGACACAGGTGTGTGCCACCACACCCAGCTAATTCTTTCTTTTTTTTTTTTTTAATATACTTTAAGTTTTAGGGTACATGGGCACAATGTGCAGGTTTGTTACATATGTATACATGTGCCATGTTAGTGTGCTGCACCCATTAACTCGTCACTTAGCATTAGGTATATCTCCTAATGCTATCCCTCCCCCCTCCCCCGACCCCACAACAGGCCCCGGTGTGTGATGTTCCCCTCCCTGTGTCCATGTGTTCTCATTGTTCAATTCTCACCTGAGTGAGAACACGCGGTGTTTGGTTTTTTGTCCTTGCAATAGTTTGCTGAGAATGATGGTTTCCAGCTTCATCCATGTCCCTACAAAGGACATGAACTCATCCTTTTTTATGGCTGCATAGTATTCCATGGTGTATATGTGCCACATTTTCTTAATCCAGTCTATTGTTGTTGGACATTTGGGTTAGTTCCAAGTCTCTGCTATTGTGAATAGTGCCACTATAAACATACGTGTGTATGTGTCTTTATAGCAGCATGATTTACAATCCTTTGGGTATATACCCAGTAATGGGATGGCTGGGTCAAACGGTATTTCTAGTTCTAGATCCCTGATGAATCACCACACTGACTTCCACAATGGTTGAACTAGTTTACAGTCCCACCAACAGTGTAAAAGTGTTCCTATTTCTCCACATCCTCTCCAGCACCTGTCGTTTCCTGACTTTTTAATGATCGCCATTCTAACTGGTGTGAGATGGCATCTCGTTGTGGTTTTGATTTGCATTTCTCTGATGGCCAGTGATGATGAGCATTTTTTCATGTGTCTTTTGGCTGCATAAATGTCTTCTTTTGAGAAGTGTCTGTTCATATCCTTCGCCCACTTTTTGATGGGGTTTTTTCTTGTAAATTTGTTTGAGTTCATTATAGATTCTGCATATTAGCCCTTTGTTTTTCTTATTTTTTGTAGCGATGGGGTCCCACTGGTCTCAGACTCCTGGGCTTAAGCGATACTCCTGCCTGGAACTCCCAAAGAGCTAGATTACAGGATTGAGCCACCACACCCAGCCCAGTTCTACTCTTTAACTAGTATGTAACATCCCTAAATCCCACTCAGCCTCAGTTTTCTCATCTGTGAAATGGTGACATTAGAGGGTTGATTATGAGAATTCAGTAGTCCCTGACATCAGGCAGATACATAATAAACGCTGGTGAACTTGGCCTTCCCTGCGCCTCAGACTTCCCCAGTTGCCAATAATTGCAGTCGATGGGATGGAGGCTTACAGAAAGAAAAAGGTGTTCTTTTATTCACTCCTTAAAATGGGGGAGGTAGATAGGGAAAGAGCTCAGGAGAGTGGGGGGAGACAGGTACACTTTTAAACCAAATTAGTTGGATACCAGCATCATCCTCTGTCTGGGCTTCCAGGCGCATGCCTGATGGAGGGAATCTGCTCTATGATTAAATATCAATCACAGTCAGCTGAGGCCCATTGGGTGCAATCCCAGAAATTCAGACTTGTGTTCTCTGTCTTGGGCAGGGGGCTTCCAGGAATGGAGAAGAGAGCGGCTGCTACGCATTGTTATAACAGCAGCTGAGATGGTTCCCTTCCAGCCTCTACCTCATTTAGTTCTCACAAGTAGCCCTTGAGGTAGCTCCTGCCATTATTCCCTGTTTACCGATAAGGACGCGGAGCTTCAGTAACTTACTCGACAGTTCCAGCAGCTAAGCCTGGAGTCTGTGTTGTTCCCACTGCCATGTGCTACATCTCTGGATTTCCCAAATCGTTCTCCCTCTCTGCTTCAGATTTTCCAGAAGCCAAATTTCTTCCCTGTTTATCTCTCACAGGGGATTTATGGCAAAGACACATCTGTCGTATCTAGGCTGAGAGCCTGCACATCCAGATGCTCGAAGTGTCTCTTGGCTTCTCCAGAACTATGCACACGGGATGCCTTTTGGGGACTGAGTTGCATACTGTGGGCTCTACTTCACAAAAGTAGATCCAGGTTCTAACCACATCACACCAGCGTTATCACTCCTGCCCTGGTGCAAGCCAAGGTCACCTCCCTCCTGCATTTTACAACAGCCGCCTGCTCATGCTGCTTCTACCTTTGAGCCCAGCAATTTACCGTTCATGCAACATCCATATATGAATTCTGATTATGCCACTCTCCTGCTGGAAACCTCCATGGGTTTCCCATCTCACTCTGGGTAAAAACTTAAACCTGCACATCCTGCTCAAGTCCCTATAAGGTCTAGTCTTTGCCTATGTCTTTGGTCCACCTCCCCTCATGCCCTGTTGCTCTTCTGCACCCTCCCACTGGCTTTCTTGCTTTCCTTGAACACACCAAGCACATGCCTGCCCCAGGACCTTTGCACTTGCAGTTTCCTCTGTCTTTAGTGCTCCTCTCCCACATATATGCAAATCTTTTAGATCTCTGCTCAGATGTTGCAACGTCAGAGAGAACTTCCCCTATCACTTGATACAACATTTCACCCTGACCACAATTCTATATCATCACCTTGCTGTACCCATCTCTAGACTCTTATCACTATAATTATGTTGCATATGGATGAATGAATGGATGGATAGGTGGATGGATGGATGGATGGATGGATGGATGGATGCTTGGATGGATGGATGGATGGATGGATGGATGGATGGATGGATGGTTGCATGGATGGATGGATGCTTGGATGGATGGATGGATGGATGGTTGCTTGGATGGATGGAAGGATGGATGGATCAATGGATGGATGCTTGGATGGATGGATGGATGGATGGATGCTTGGATGGATGGATGGATGGATGGATGGATGAATGGATGGATGGGTGGATGGATTTTATTTCCATTTACTATAATGTGAGCTCCACGAGAGAAGAGTGGGTTTTTGTTTGTGTTTTGTTCAATGCTGCATCTACAAGTGCCTTAAATCATGTCTGAGACATAGCAGTCATTTGCCAAATACGGGTGTATAAGTAAGACAACTTTTCTTCATTGGCATGGGCCATAAAGGAATGAGAGTGGTCTCAGCATTCCCTTATGTGACTCTGTAGTGTGAGACATCTTTGGCGTGAAATTCAAGTAATATATACCAAGAGTAGACATTTGCAGTAACCATTTCTGGGCCACCTCCTTTTAATTAATTTAAAAAATACTCAAGTCTCAATTACCCATAGCCCAGGTAAAAGAAATGTGTGTTAATTCTATGTGGGCAAATTAAGGAGGATACATGTTTTCTATGGAAACTTTTCTTTTTGTATAATAAACATATAATGCATGAATCATTAGTGTGCAGATGGATGGGTCAGTGCAAGGTGAACAATGTTACAGATCAACACACATACCTCAAGCTGAACTCTGCCAGAAACCCATGGCCCCTTGGGTCACCTTGCAGGTAGAACCTACCCCCAGGGTAAACATTACCCTGACTTCTGGCAACATAGGGTAGTTTCATCTGTTTAAAACTTTTATAGAAGTGGAATCACATGATGTGTACACTTTTGTATTTCGCTCCTTTGTACTCAACATGATGTCTCTGAGGCTCATCCATCTAGATTCCCATCACTTACACTTCATCTTTGCTGCATACTGTTCTATGCCACAAGTTACTTATTCATTCTACTGGTCATGGACTTTACGTTGTTTCCAGGTTTTAGCTATTACAAATAGTGATACCAGGGACATTCTTGCCCATGTCTTTGGTAAACAAACATACACATTTATCTTGGGTATATATATAGAAGTAAAATTGCTGAGTAATTGAGACTGCCTCTGTTTAACCTTAGTAATTATTACCAAACACTTTTTCAATGTTTAATACCAATTTAAACTCCTAGAAGCAGTGTATGAAGGTTCCAGTAATTCCGCACTCTCAATTAATTGGTAATATTTGATATAAAATTGTTTATTTCCCCTCATTGCTTTCTTTTCCTTCACCTGGTTCAAGCATTTCTCGTTGATCCTCCTTGTGTCAGGAGAGCTTGACACATGGGCAAAAAATAACCCAAATACAATTACAATTTTTCCCTTGCTGGTACTTCTTTCTTCCAGTTTGGGCTTTTGTGGAGATTATACTTGTTGCCACTAAAAGAAACATTTAGAGAAGCAAGAGTATCCCCCAGAAATTAAAAATACATTCCCCAGAACTGGGGAAGCAGAGAGAAGACCCTGGGTCTCCAAGAGCAAGGCCAGAGCGTGGCTGCCAGGAGGTGCTAAGGGAGGTGGTGAAACCCCACGAAGGGATGCCCATCAGCAGGAGGGGACACACGGAGATGGAGTTCCCTAGTCTTGGATAACAGCTGCTCATGGCAGGAGTGCATCTGAGAGTTACTGGGCCTGAAGAGACCATATGCCAAACCAAACTGACAGTCAGAGTCTGGAAGCAGAAATTAATTTGAGTTGCAGAAAACAGAGAAATTGATATTTCTCGCACTGTTAAATTTGTGACTTGAGATTCAGAGCTTGCAACTAAGGAAGAAGAGAAGTGTCACTAGGGATACTTTCGCAGGGAAACAGGCTGGAACGTCATTCCTCATATTATTTCTAGGATTATGCAAACATGATCAACATTCTAGATCTCGTTTATAACAGAGGTGAGCGACCTGTAGGAGGAAAAATGTTCTACTTAGGTTGGAAGAGGAGGTCCAGTGACAGAAGAAGATGGAAGAGACAAACTCCCTCCCTTCTGGGATTTCTCCCCCTAATGAATGAGAATGTCAAATAGACCAACCTGCTTTAATAGTGTACAAGAGATAACATCAGGTAACGGATGAGAACATGAAATTTGGAGTCAGGTAGCTTGAGCACAAATTGTGACTGAATGAACATGGCCGAATGAATATGGACGAGTTACTTAAAATCTCGGTGCCAGTTTCTTCATTTGTATTTGAGAGTGCCAATAGTGATACCCTCCTCATACGTTTGCTGTGACTACTACAAGTTGTTCTACATAAAATTCTTAAAACACAGCCTGACAACAGATGGCATGCTAAGGGGGCGTGTCTCAGTACTGACCCAGGCCACCTAACCCAGGGCTGCAGAGGAGGCTCCCAGAGGAGGTAAGTCCTGAGACGAATCCAGGATTTAGCCATGTAAAAAGGAGACGCAGACATTTTTAAAGTTGTAGTTTTTTTTTTTTAACTGTCACATAATAATTGCACATATTTATGGGGTACAATATGCTGTTTGGATACATGCATACTTTGCATAACGATCAAATCAGAGTAATTAGCATATCCATCACCCATATCCATCACCCCAAACATTTGTCATTTCTTTGGTGAGAACATTCAAAACCTTCTCTTCTAGCTATTTTGAAATATACACTACACTATTGTTAACTATATCACCCTACAGTGCTGCAGCACACCAGAACTTATTCCCCCATCTTACTGTAACTTTGTATTCATGGCCCAATAGCTCACCATCCCCCAGCCCCAGTACCCTCCCTAGCCTCTGGTAACCTCTACTTTACTGTGTAATTCTATGAGATCAGCTTATTTAGATTCCACACAGGCGTGCGAATGTACCGTATTTGTCCTTCTGTTCCTGGCTTATTTCACTGACTATTGAGTCAATGTCTAGGTTTTTCCATGTTGCAAAAGATAGGATTTTATTCTTTTTTAATGGTGGACTAGCATTCCATTGTGTATAATATAGACCAATGTGTTAATCCATTGATCTGTTGATGGACACTTAGGTGGTTTCCATATCTTGGCTATTGTGAATACTGCTGCAATAAAAACTGGAGTGCAGATAATCCTTTCAACATCCTGATTTCATTTCCTTTGCATATATACCCAGAAGTGGAATTTCTGGATCTTACGGGCATACCATTTTTTAATTTTTTAAGGTGCCTACATACTAATGTCCATAGCGGCTATACTAATTTACAGTCCCACCAACAGTGTATATGTGTCCTCATTTCTCCACATCTGTGCCAGTATTTGTTATTTTTTGTCTTTTTGATAATAACCATTCTGGGGTGAGACAATTTCTCATGGTGGTTTTGATTGGCATTGCCTTGATGATCAGCCAGGTAACCTCAGCATTTTCTGCTTGCCACCTCCAGCAAAGGAATCCTGCTTCTGCAGTACGATGTTTACCTCTGTTCCAGGATGATGAATCCCAAGCCTAGTTTTTCTCCCCTGAAGATTCTCCATGCTTCTTAACCTTCATTTTATGGTTAAGTCATTCAGTGCTGATATTTGTTGCTTGTACTTAAAATTCTGACCAATGCACTGCATAAAAAGGGAATGTCTATATTATTTGGAATGAGGACAGTGCAGAGACTACAATATGATTATCAAATATCGTTTCTTCATGTATTTTCTACTAGGAGAATTCTGATTTTACTCTGATCAGCCAAAAACTACATTTTCCAGCGTCCCTTGTAGCTAGGAACAATTGTGATATCATTTTGGTCAATAAGATACAAGTGGGGAGACCACACTGGATGGATTTTAGGAACAGCTCTTTGAATATGGATGACTCAACTGACATGTGTAATTTACTCTTCAGTCTTCCCCTTTCTTCCTGTCTGAAGTGCAGCTGTGAGGGTCGGAGCCACGGCAGCTATCTTGAGGGCACGTGGATGAGAATCTCAGCCTAAATCTGGCAGAGGAAAAAGCCACTATCTTCTCAGAATCTGGTATCCTGATGATTTAATGAAGACCATAAAACAGTCCTGGAATCCCTTGAAAGTTTGTATCCAGACTACTTTCCTACGAGAGAATAGTATTCCATCACTCCATTTTCTAAAAAATTGTTATTTGGGTTTTCTGATACATGGTGTCAAAACTAATCATAGCTACCGCATGCATCATCGAAAGGTATGACATTCTCATATATATATAATTATATTTTATTTTATACTCAGGAGTTTTTAAAACAGGATAATATGGTCTTATTTGTATTTCAAAAGACCAAGCGTAGCAGTGGTGTGAGGCAGCTGGGTGAGGATGAGCACTGATATGCAAGACTTTTAGTTGCAGCATTATTTGTGATAGTGACGATTCAACAACACTGTAAGTTTCCATCAAGAGGGGACTTCTGAGTGGTATTTAAACAATTTATATAATGGAATACTCTTTTGCAGATGAAGGGAATGAATTAGATGCCTTTGTATCCACATGAACAGATCTCCAAAACATATTAGGAGGGATGAAAGCAAGTTTTAAAATATTTTAACACGTCACTTATAGAAAACCAAGTGTGTGCGTTTGTGATTTTTCTATAATGGTACACATACATGTATACCGACATAAAAATGAACTTGAAGTATATACATTCAACTTATCATAGTTACCTCCTCAGCTTGGGTCAGGTGAGGAAAAAGCAAGAATGAGATTTAAAAAGTCTTCATTTTTCCTATAATTTGATACATTTAAAAAATAGTAAATAATGTATTTACCACATTTATACACAGAACAATTACTGAGGATAAATGTCTATCATAGAGACTGCTCCATCACTAACCCCTTTGTTTCTTTTTCCTTTTCATCATAAAACCTCTTGGATTTAAGTTGGGGACATGTCTTCTAGCCAGAGTCCACATTTCCCAGACTTCTTTGCAGCCAGGTGTGGCTGTTGAGAGTTAGGGTCAATGGAATGTGAGAATTTGAATCATTTCATGGATGATAAGGTCCTTTGCCCAGGAAGTTGAGGAGGGAGATGCCCTCTTTCTGCCAGTTGGGAACGGAGCAACTATAATGACTTTGAAGCCACAGGTTAGGAATAACAGAGCCTCCCCACCATCCTGGAGCCCTGAATACTCCCAGGGAGCAGAGCCCTTGCACCTTCCCCCAAACAGCTCCATGACAGAGAAATACACTTTGTCTGCTTAGAGCCACTGTATTTTTAAGTATTTGGGGTATAACAGCCTATTTAAGCACAATGCCTAAATGTTAATAGAGGTTAAGTATGAATGAACGGGCATGGCCAGTGGTTAATTCTACTTTGCACGTTTTCATACTTCTCAAATTTTAGACATAAATTTTGGAAAATACCTTCTGACATGATGAAATGTTGGTAAGGATGTGAAGTGATGAGAATTCTCTTACACTGCTGGTAGGAATGTGAACTGGCATAACCACTTTGGAAAAGTGTTTGGCAGTACTAAAGCTAAACATCCCTATACCATAGGATACAGACATTCCATTCCTAAGTACACACCTTCAGGAGCTGAATGCTCATTTCTTTTTTTTTTTTCTTTTTTTAAATTATACCTTAAGTTCTGGGATACATGTGCAGAACGTGCAGGTTTGTTACATAGGTATACTTGTGCCATGGTGGTTTGCTGCACCCATCAACCCGTCATCTACATTAGGTATTTCTCCTAATGCTATCCCTCCCCCAGCCCCCCTCCCCCCGACAGGCCCCAGTATGTGATGTTCCCCTCCATGTGTCCATGTGTTCTCACTGTCCAACTCCCACTTACGAGCAAGAATATGCAGTGTTTGGTTTTCTGTTTCTATGTTAATTTGCTGAGAATGATGGTTTCCCCTTCATCCATGTTCCTGCTAAGGACATGAACTTATCCTTTTTTATGGCTGCATAGTATTCCATGGTGAATATGTACCACATTCTTTTTAAAATCCAGTCTATCACTGATGGGCATTTGGGTTGGTTCCAAGTCTTTGCTATTGTGAATAGTGCTGCAATAAACATACGTGTGCATGTGCCTTTAGAGTAAAATGATTTATCATCCTTTGGGTATATACCCAGTAATGGGATTGTTGGGTGAAATGGTATTTCTGGTTCTAGATCCTGAAGACACATGTGCAGAAAGGTGCAGAGACAAGTTATGCATAACAGTCCCACACTGGAAGCAACTCAAATATCCACCCATAGAATAGACAAATAATGTGTTGTATATTCATATAATGGATACTATGCAGCAACAACAACAAAATGAAAATACTCATTTATAAAAAACATAGATACATCTCCCTGATGCTATTTTGATGAAAAGAAACCAGGCACAAAATAGTATGTACTATATGACTTCATTTGTATGAAGTCCAAAAACAGAGACACAAGTCCCTGGATTTAGAGGTCGGGATACTTCTTTTCCTGGGGTGGGTGTAGGTACTGGCTTGGAGGGGACATGAGGGCATCTGTTGGGAAGAAGGAGATGTTCTGTCCTCGGATCTGACACCTGTATAAGCGACTGCATCATATGTTCCATTTCATTGCACTGCATATTACGGCTTTTGTGCTTGTGTTGTACATGGGATAGCTCAGTGATGAGTAATTTTAAAAAATATCCCTACATCACCATTCAATTAAGTGTCGAAAAGAAATAAAACTGCAAACAAAACATGAAAAGGATCACTGAGACGTAATTTCACAGAGCAATAAATCTATTCATCAGTTCCATGTACAATAGGACACATGGAATCTGCTTTGAAGGTTTCTTATTGCAATTCTCTGCAGGATCACTTTGGCCATCTCTGCTGTCCGTGATCTTCTCATTCTAAGCCTCCAGGTTTTATGCCCAGCATAGGATTAAAAATAGTCCAGTAGCTACAAGATGTACACTTTCCTTGCAAGACTTTCCTCGACAGTCAATGTTGCTGGGAGCCAGGTAGAAAAGAGAGTGAAGGAGCATTTGGGACATTGGGAATTACTGAATAAATGAGAGTAGTCAGAGAGTTTCTGTCTAAACTAAATGCTCATATCTGGTAACAGACAAATCCCAGTAAGAATAGCTCAGCCGAAATATCTGATGGTCAATATTCTGTTTGTATTTTATTATGAGTCATTATTTTTAAACATTTAGTTTTTCCCTCCTCTTTTTCTCTTTACCCCCTTTCTCTCCTCCATTCAAGCATCAACTATTCTATTCTGTTCTCAATGTCCAGCATAAAGGTGAATGGACATAAACTGTTCTCCAAGCACTGGAGTTGTTTTTTGTTTTTTATTTTTGAGACGGAGACGGAATCTCACTCTATTGCCCAGGTTGGAGTGCAGTGGCATGATCTCAGCTTGCTACAACCTCCCCCTCCTGGGTTCAAGTGATTCTCCTGCCTCAGCCTTCTAAGTAGCTGAGAACAGGTGCCCGCCATCACAACTGGCTAATTTTTGTATTTTTTAGTAGAGACAGGGTTTCACCATGTTGACCAGGCTGGTCTGGAACTGCTGACCTCAAGTGATCCACCTGCCTCGGCCTCCCAAAGTGCTGGGATTACTACAGGCGTGAGCCACTGTGACTGGCCTGGAGTTTTTTTTAAGTGTTGTAAATTTTACTAAATTTTATTTTCCAAATATGTGCTGACCTTTCTTTGGTAGGATTATCCTTTCCTGCCTTGTGGAAATCAGGCTTGGATGTGTGCTTTGCTTTAATCCATGACAGGTGAGCGAAAGTGACGTATGGCATCTGGGGCAGATGCTTGAAGGATTATGTCATGGTTCCAAGATCTCTGTTTTCCGTGTTCCCCAAGACAAACATGTCCCCAATGGGAGGAGCTATTTTGCTCTCATCCCAGAATGAAAAAGAGGTGTTATTTGGCGAAGCCTGACCAAGTACGGGTGTGCAATGAGAGGACAACGCCAACCTCTGTTGTCATGAGCCTCCGTGATTCCAGCACACTTCTTACCTAAACTCACTTTTACCAAAGCTAGTCCAACAGGAAACAAAATGCTCCTGAGCACAAAAGAAGTAAAAGATTTTGGAGTATCCATGATAACATGAAAGTGGGACTTTCTGTTCTCAGGATGAAAAAACACTTCCTCAAAAGGGGCAAGGTGGGTATTTGAGAGGAAAACAAGGGGGTAATGGAGATGGTGAGTGTCTGAACCAAAAGGCCAGTTCTGTTTCTCTGTGTTCCAGAGACTGGATGCTACAAACTCTGAAGAGATCTGGAGAGTGAAAAGACGGCCATTCTGTGACTCACTTTTTACTTAGAAGTCAGAACTCAGACAGGAAATGATCATGTGGCGCGTGGAGGCAAATAAGATCTTAAACAACAGTGTGGGGTTTCTCTAGGCTCGGTGACCTAAGAGCAGAATACACTTCTCATATATCCCATAATAGCATGGGCATATCTAAGAGGTTATTGGGTTTGGAGGTGACTTGTGGATGGGAAATATCCATAGTGTAGATAAATCTGTACCAACCCATAGCTGAAGCCCAGGCAGACACAAGATGCCTGCTGATGTCTGCTGGCTACATGACGGATGCAGATACCCTTTTACTTCCCTCTCGAACGCTGACAATGGCAAGCTACGCAGGATGTATAGAGAGTTCTACACACAGGCTTGAAGCCTGGGTTGGCAGGGGGAGTGCGTGGAAGAACCTGAGAGAATGGAGACTAATGTGCATCTGGGCAACAGAGTGGATGTTTGCAACAGAAATTAAAAATAACCATGGAAACATCATGTGAAGTCTTGCTCATGTGGGTTTTTAGATCGGATTTGCATCCATTATTATGGCATTTACCAATTATCGTTGAGGTCTTCACTTGTCCAGCTTTGATGAGTGCTTTGATGCATTGGGTGACATATAAGTCAGGGTCTAGTCGAGCTACCATCTAGAGTTCAATAGAGGGAATTTAATCCAGGGCACTGGTTTAGAAGATGCTGGATGTTCACTAAGATTTGCAAGATTGCATGCACATACCTGTATATATGCAGCATTTCTGTAAAAACTTCCAAACAACCTCTCACCTGAGGTTTCAGCATCAGGAAAGGGTAGAGTCTCGTGACTCTTAAGTGCAGGATCATTTCTCCATTAACACATATGCAAGGAGCCTTCTCCCAAGAGCGAGTGCACTAGTTACCTGGGTAGATGTAGACCCAGGTGTTGCCCGCACGGTATGAGAAGAACTAGAAACCATAAGAGGAACTGTTAAGGCCACTTGTGAATGGCGCATCTCTAGTGATGAAGGCAACAGGCAGGAGGTGATCCCAAACCAGAAACTAGAGACGCCTGCGAGGAGCTGAAATCAAACCAGAGACTGTTTGCGGGAGCTGGAGGTACAGAGGAGATACAGCCACTGTGTGAGACACTGTCCAAAACACAGAGAAGGAGAAATAGCCTGACTTCTGCTTTCTCCTTGCCCTTTAAACTCCCACTCTTTGATCCAGCAATCCCACTACTGGGTGTATACTCAAAGGAAAATAAGTTGTTCTACCAAAAAGAGCCCTGTGCCCATATGCTCACTGCAGTACTATTCATAATAGCAGCTACGGAACCGACCCAGGTACCCAGCAACAGTGGAGTAAATAAAGAAAATGTCACACATATACACTGTGGAATCTTACACAGTGATAAAAAAATAATGAAATCATCGCCTTTGCAGCAACATGGATGCAGTGGGAGGCTGTTACCTTAAGCAAAGTGGCGCAGAAACAGAAAACTCAATAATGCATGTTCTCGCTTATGAGAGCGGTGCACTGGGTACTCATGGACATAAAGATGGCAACAGTCGGCCTGGAGGCTACTAGAAGCAAGAGATAAGGAGAGAGGCAAGGCTTGAAAAACTACCCATTGGGTTCTATGCTCACTTCCTGGGTGACAGATTCAATTGCACCCCAACCCCCAGTGTTACCCAATATTCCCATGTAACAAACCTACACATGTACCCCCGGAATCTAAAACAAAAGTTGCAAAAGAAAAACAAAAGCCTGCAACGCTTGTCTTTCATTGGCCAAATCTTTCCAGCAGCCAGTGGGCAATGGAGCCTGAGAATCAGAGTTTGCATTGACACATTCTGTTAGATTCAGAGCAGAGAAGGGAAGGTGTGGAGAAGGGATATGTGAGCACCGTGCGGGCAACACCTGGTCCTACATCTACCCAGGTAATTAGTGCACTTGCTCTTGGGAGAAGGCTCCATGCGTATGTGTTAATGGAGAAACGATCCTGGACTTAAGAGTCCCAAGACTCTACCCTTTCCAGATGCTGAAACCTCAGGTAAGTCACTCAAGAGTCCCGACCTCCTGAGAGATGAAATATGCAAATTAAAGGGGGAAGCTAGGACTCCAAAAGTGGTTAGTGAGTGGTAGAGTCTTCTGAATATCTACTGCATATGCATCCCATTCTCCTTCCGTCTTGTCACAGAGTATCTTGAGTGGTATGACCAGCATGGTCATCTAGTGGGATGTGCTAGAAGCGGTTATAGTCTCAAAGCTCAGCAAAATCTAGAAAGGCATTTATCTGATGAATAATACTGGAATCCATGCCCAGCCTCATGTAAGTCATACTTGGGTAAGATTGGATATAGCCTAAAACTGGACCAGAAAGGAGTCAAATACATCTCATGGATGACCCAGAGTCCTTCAAACGCCTTATGTGTATTCATCTTGGTGTCTGCAAGAGGTACTGTTTTGGACGCCATGGTGTGCTGCCGAGGTCACTCCTGTAGGAGGGAGGTGACGGTGGCTGACAACCTCTGAAATTTCCCCCAGCTGAAGACAGCATACCTCGCCCAAGATCATGCTCCCTCCCAGGTGAACACATCCTCCAGTGACTCCTCAGGGTGGGGTGGAGAGGCCAGGCACCCTTGCTTCAGGGTGGGGCATCTTTGAAGGGCCAGCCCACTCCAGAGCTCCCCTTGGGGTCGGCTGAGGCTGTTGTTGAAACTGCCTCAGAGTTCAGCTCCTGCCTCTTTCCAATCCGGCTTCCTCCTCTCCTCTACAAGTTGCTTCCAAGGGTAAAACCCCCAAAGCACCCTGCACACAAATCTCCATCTCAGAGCCTGCTTCCTGCGCAACTCCTCTGAAGACAAGTGTGTCTTTCAGCAATGAGATTCTGAAGGTGAGCCGCCTCCCCGACCGTATCCCACACCTCAAGGTCTATGTCAATCTCTGGGCATCGCAAGTCTCTAGTATTTGAACTGTTAAGTCCCATTCTGATATCATCAAAAACTGCTTTATACACACTCTGATCTGATGATAAATATGAGAAGATAAAAGCTGAGTTTGGTGAGCGATGGCCCACAGCCGAGGAACCGTGACGCAAGGCTGTCCTTGGATACCCTCTCCATCTCCCTCCCTCCCACTCCTGGACTTGTTGTCCCTGGCTCCAGTTCTGGCTCTCCCCCTTCTCCCTTCCTCTTTCTCTATTCTTTCCATCTCCATTTCCTTTCACCCCTCACTCATCTCTCTCCCAAAGTTAATATATTTCTTAATTTCCTAAACAACATTGTTCTCCCTTTCCCTGCTTTCAGCTCCCCCTTCTCTGGAGTGCCATCTCTCCCTGCTTCTGTGCACGTAGTTCAGAGGATGTGTGTCCTTCTCAGATCTGAATATGAGTGTGCAAGCCAGGCCTGATCAATACACGTTTCACATTCTTTGTCGATAATGATTGTTTTTTGGTATGGCCACGTGGCCCAAATGACTGCGGTCATCAAAACTGCAAATTTTAGTTTTCTGAATTGACAAGGAAAAGATTTGCTTTCTTAAGAATAAAGGTACAATAAGGTCACACACCTACAACTATCTGATCTTCAAGAAAATTGACAAGCAATGGGGAAAGGACTCCCCTTTCCCCAATAAATGATGCTGGGATAACTGGCTAGCCATATGCAGAAAATTGAAACTGGACCCTTTCCTTCCACTGCAGAGAAAAATTCACTCAAGATGGATGAAAGACTTAAATGTAAAACCCACAACTATAAAAACCCAGGAAGAAAACCTAGGCAGTACCATTCAGGACATAGGCACAGCAAAGATTTCATGATGAAGACATCAAAAGCAATTGTGACAAAAGCAAAAATTGACAAATGGGATCTATTAAACTAATAGATCTTCTGCACAACAAAAGAAACTACCAGCAGAGTAAACAGACAACTTACGGAATGGGGGAAAATTTTTGTAACAATACATTCGACAAAGGCCTAATATCCAGTATTCATAAGGAAATAAACAAATTTAGAAGAAAAACAACAAGCAACCCCATTAAAAAAGTGGGCAAAGGACATGAACAGAGATTATTTTATTTTATTTAAGTTCTGGGATACATGTGCAGGTTTGTTACGTAGGTAAATGTGTGCCATGGTGGTTTGCTGCACCTGTCAGCCCATTGCCTAGATATTAAGCTGGACATGCATTAGCTATTTTTCCTGATGCTCTCCCCCTCCCCACCCTCCTCTGACAGGCCCCAGTTGTGTTGTTCCCCTCTCTTTGTCCGTGTATTCTCATGAACAGACACTTTTCCAAAGAAGACATACATGCAGCCAACATGCATATGAAAAAGGCCCAACATCACTGATCATTAGAGAAATGCAAATCAAAACCACAATGAGAGGCCATCTCATACCAGTCAGAATGGCTACTATCAAAAAGTCAAAAATTAACAGATGCTGGAGAGGTTGTGGAGAAATAGGAATGCTTACACACTGTTGGTGGAAATGTAAACTAGTTCAACCATTGTGGAAAACAGTGTGATGATTCCTCAAAGAACTACAAACAAAACTACTATTTGACCCAGAAATCCCATTACTAGGTATATACACAGATAAATGTAAATTGTTCTATTATAATGACTCATGCACATGAATGTTCATTGCAGCACTATTCACAAAAGCAAAGACATGGAATCAACCTAAATATCCATCAATGAAAGACTGGATAAAGAAAATGTGGTATATAAACACCATGAAAGAACAATATCATGTCCTTTGCAGCAACATGGATAGAGCTGGAGGCCATTATCCTTAGCAAACTAATGCAGAAACAGAAAACCAAATACCACATATTCTCACTTATAAGTGGGAGCTAAATGATGAGAACACATGGACACAAAGAGGGGAACAACACGCTGGGGCCTATGGGAGGGTGGAGTGTGGGAGGAAGGAGAGAATCAAGAAAAATAACTAATGGGTACTAGGCTTAATACCCGAGTGACTGAATAATCTCCACAACAAACCCCCAAGATACAAGTTTACCTATCCTGCACATGTACCCCTGAACTCAAAATCAAATTAAGTTAAATTTTATAAAAAGGTACTAGACTGTAAGCCTCTAGATTCTGGGGACTGTCTTTTCACTGCCTTGTCTGTTTGTCTGAGACTGAAGCTAACCTAAAGGAAAGGGAGATGAAGGAGAGAGGTGAAATTATAATCTCATCCCATGAACCCCTGGATCCAGCTGTGCCTGAAGCCCCTCCCTCTGAATTTTCCAGGTCATGGGTTCATTAAGCCAGCATGGGTTGGACTTCTGTCACTTCCATCTTAAAGCTCTGGAGTTCACCCAAATAAACCACCCATAGTCACAGTTCACAGTATCACCTCCATTGGCAATTTGTATTCTTACTTGTTGCAGGTCAGGTTCCCAAGTAGCAGACGCTGAGATGCATTTATGTGCAGGAAGTTATTGGGATAAACCTCTGCAGGGGAATGAAGGAAGCAGAACAAGGTAGAGGGAAAAATCAGACTGTGATGCCGGTGCAGCAAAGTCCTCAGCGTATCCCCGGGGAGGTGTAGACCTGAGGTGTCCCTGCAGGGTTACTCCAAATTGGTACCAGGGGCTGGGACTTTATACAGCTCTACCAGTCGCTGGCTCAGAAAAGGGAGAGAAGCTTGAGCAAGGTGGCTCCCTGCTGTTGAGGGCAAGTGCAAAAGACGGGCTCAGGTGATAGGTGTTGGTTCTCAATGCTTCTAGCAGCTGGTGGATGTAGGGGGATTTGAGAACCAGAATACTGAGCTGGTGGAACTGGGTGGTCACAAAGCCACTCACCCATGGTATGCTGAGTCCTTGAGGGCACACAGAAGGGGGCACTGTTAGAGAGGATGTGGTGTGACTTGGTTAGCCCTTCCATCCCTAATTCCTAGGAATATCAGGTATCCCTGCAGAATATTGATGTCAGGCTTTTTGCAACAGGTGTTGTGCACTGTACCCTCCGGAGCTGTGCTAATTCCTAAGCAGAAACACTCTGGCGTATTCATTCAAAGATATTTATGGAGAATACGATGTCTCAGGAATTGGGTCATAGCAGGAATGAGAGAGACAAGATCTCTGTCCTTATGGGGAATAAAGGCATTAAATCCTTACACACATAACCCATGTTTATTAATTGATATTTAATGTCCATTTTGTCCCGTTAACACTTCTCAAATCTCTGCTCTTGAAGATCTCAGTCCTCCCTACCTCCTGAGCAGAGATGAATGATAAAAATATTCACAGCATTACTGCTTCCCATGCCATGGTGAGGACAGGTGCTGTGTAAAACTGATTAAAAGAGGGAAATTAAGAGCTGCTGTCAAAAATATATTCCAGGCTTTGATTTTTCACAATTTCCCCCTCTCTTACTTAAAGGAGGAAAAAATGCTGTGGTGGTGATTTCTTTATTAGAAACAGCGATTGTGCCTGCCAAGTTTTAATCAACTCGCCTGGCCGTGAGACCCGGCTGGCATTAACTGTCTTTAGGAAATAAATGCTTCGGATATGGAGCATAGTATTAGCAAGCACACAGCAAAGTCCCCAAGCGGACCACACAGAGCATTATCTAACCATCAATTCAAATCTAAAACAAGCTAATCTGCAGTGTAGAGAATCCTGCTACTCACACCAGAGTCCCCAGAGCAGAACCTGCCCTTCACCAGCCCAAACCAACCATCTCTCTGTCTCTCTCCTCTCATCTTCCCTGACACTGGGAAAGTGACTTGGTGGAGTAGAAACAATTGCAGCCACACTCTCAATTTGCTTTTCCAACCACCGTCCAAAACCCAGCACTTTATCCAATTTTTTTTACTGAAGAGGCATTTCTATCTCAGGAAATTGTCTAGGTCAGTCTTCTCACTTCAGTCATTGTAACTGACACTATTATGCAAACGTAACCCTTTCATTCAATTCACTTGCTTTCTTTACTAATACATTCATTTTGAAAGGAAGCATTATTACACTACTGTTAAGTGAAAACTGGTATCGTTTGCAATAAATAGAAGGGAGCCCTAAACACAACCAATAAGAAAATAAAGTGATGTTATTAATCCTAACTACATACTGCCTGCCGAGGGCTCCGCATCTGGACTCGTACTCTCCCATGAAGAATAACGTAAGCAAACATGAGGATTTAAAGACATCTTGTATGGAACAAAGCCTTTCTCCTTGAGGTAACCAGAATGATGGGAAAAAAAGCTGAAAAGAGGTTAACTTTCTTGCCAAAAGGTTCATTGCTATCTAAATGATGTCTGTGCACTGTACAAATTAGCTCACTCTCTTTTGAAGAACACTGGGGTAGTAGTGAAGTTTTCTACATATGCAATAAAATAAATGCACGGTCCTTCCGCAAACCAGAGTGTGTGGTGATGTGGAAACAGCATCAGGTTCAGGAGACTTTGGTTCCTTGTCAACTCCACCACTAAGGAGCTGAGTGATGCCGGCTTAATCACTTGGCCCATCTGGGTACTATTTATCTGATTTGTTATAATCTGCAAGGTGTCTTTCAGCCTCCAGCAAACAGTGAGTGCTTGACAACAAGAATTATGTCTTATTTATCTATATCTTCAGGATAAGCATGAAATGAGATCGTCTGTGGCGTTTTCAGCGTAGTGCTTGGCTTCGTAGATGCTCAGGAAGTTTCTGCAGAATGAATGCATGAGGGAATATGGCCCACGGACTGTAGTCTATGTCAGACACTTCAGCAAGCACCTCACTCATTAATCTTTTTATTCTTTACAATCATACAGTGTGGTGCCCATTATGTTTGACGGATGCAGAAACTGAGGCTTAGACTGGCTAAATGATTTTTTCTTCTCTTTTCTAAGTTATGGGGTATATGTGCAGGTTCGTTACACAGGTAAACTCATGTCACGGGGAGTTGTTGTGCAGATTATTTCATCATCCAGGTACTAAGCCTAGTACCCACTAGTTATTTTTCCTGATCCTCTCCCTCCTCCCACCCTCCACCCTCCAGTAGGCCCCAGTGGGTGCTGTTCCCCTCAGTGTGTCCATGTGTTCTCATCATTTAGGTCCCACTTATAAGTGAGAACATTCAGACAACTTGATTTTCTGTTCCTGCATTAATTTGCTAAGAATAATGGAGTCCAGCTCCATCCATGTTGCTGCAAAGGACTTGATTCTCGTTCTTTTTCAAAGCTGCATGGTATTTTATCGCATATACATGCCACATTTTCTTTATCCAGTCGGTCATTGGTGAGCATTTACGTTGATTCCAATTTTTTTCAAAGTATATAATAAATAGTGAAGTACATTTTAAAAACATTCTTATTTTAAAAAACTTTAATCATACAGGAAAAATAAAGGGGCTGATACAATGAACACTTGCCCTGCGTGTTAACAGCCATGAGTTCTACCATGTCTGCTCATCTGATGCTCCAAGCCTAAAGTATTTTGAAGTAATTTACATGAAGCATATTAGTAATTTCTACACTATATTTACTAGTTGTCCCAATGCCAGTAACGTATCATAAATCAAATATTTTTAAATGCTCAAAAGTAGTGAGACATAGTAGGTGTCCTGGATCTCTGAAAGAAAGATAATGCCTCCTGGAATTCCACCCAGGCATCAGTAGTGAATAAGATAACGGTGAAGACTTTGCAGCTCTGCCTTACCTGCAGGCCACCTTCTTGTTTGTTTTTCTTTTATCTTCCGGATAAAGTGAGATTTCATGGTTCACAATGGGAATGGAGTATTGTTAAGAGGGAAGACCCTATGCATTGGCTTTAGGAGCTCCAGAGTTCAAATGTGAGAGCAGTCACCGCATCAGTGTTTGACCTGGGGAAAACTGTGTAAGCACTTGGACCCTTACCTACTCGATGATATAAATGAAAATAAATCAACTTCTTAGGAATGCTTTGAGAATAAGTTAGGTGATGTTTAGAGCCATGCTTAGTCCTGCCTGGTGTTAAGGAATGAATAATTAAGGAATGAGTAACCAACCAGCTCAGCTTCTAATCACCGTGCAGAGTTAGGTAAGGCTGTAGTCTAAGTTTCCACTAAACCCGCCAGACTTTCTGAGCCTGCAGAGCAGGAGTTCTAGGTACTGTGGTGCAACACATATTGACAGCTTCAGATTTTTGTAGTTCTCTCCTTGGTCAGGCTAGACAGCAATATGGGTACACGGAGTCTCTGCACATGAGTGTTTACTTGTCCAAATTCAACTTCAGATGGTATCGACCACCAAATCATACAACACCAGGAGTGACAGGAGGTGGAATTCATGTCCCATTTTCCAGCGTCTCATTGTGTGAAAAATCTCAGCACACCAAGTGTGAATCCAGTATTTTAAAATTTGTAAGTTTGATATCGTGTGGTCCTCAGGGAAAGCCAACTACTTCCTCAGGTACACACACAAAACACAGCAACCCCGACTCCCCAGACAGAAGCAATGGTCTGTTTGGTGCTGGATGACATATGGATATGTTGGATCAGTTTGAAGTGAGTCCGTGGGTCTTGTGATCAAAAGATTTTCAAAAACAATTTTGACTCTAAAAGAGTTTCATTGTGGTTTTGATCTGCATTTCTCTAATGATCAGTGATGAGCTTTTTTCCATATGATTGTTGGCCACATATATGTCTTCTTTTGAAAAGTGTCTTTTCATGTCCTTTGCCCACTTCTGCACGGGTTTTTTTCTCGTAAATTTAAGTTCCTTATAGATGCTGGATATTAGACCTTTGTCAGATGCACAGTTTGTAAACATTTTCTCCCATTCTGTAGGTTGTCTGTTTACTCTGTTGAGAGTTTCTTTTGGCTGTGCAGAAGCTCTTTAATTAGATCCCATTTGTCAATTGTTGCTTTTGCTGCAATTGCTTTTGGCATCTTTGTCATGAAATCTTTGCTGTGCCTGTGTCCTGAATGGTATTGCCTAGGTTTTCTTCCAGAGTTTTTATAGTTTTGGGTTTTACATTTAAGTCTTGAATCCATCTTGAGTGAATTTTTGTACAGTCTGTATAACAAACCCCCATGTCGTAAGTTTATCTATGTAACAAACCTGTACTTGCACCCCTGAACTTAAAAGTTTTAGAAAAGAGTTTCAATGATGCTTGGATTTCATAGTCTAATCCCATGTAAGTGAAGAGGCTACATGAAATTTCAAGTAAGAGTAAAATGCACTCTAGTTTCAAAAGAAAAAAACAAGCAGTACTATGCTTCAAAAAATATTGACATTTATGTGCTATTGGCAGCATCAGCTGTGAAACCAGGATTTGCAAGTTCGTTGGCATCCCTGCAACAGGGTCCCCATGAGAGCCCATTCAGGCAATCACTGAGCACCCAGAAGGTCATTTCAGCAACCAAAAGTTTCCATCGCTTCTTTTTTTTTTTTTTTTTTTTTTTTGAAACAGAGTCTCACTCTGTCGCCCAGGCTGGAGTGCAGTGCTGCAATCTCAGCTCACTGCAACTTCTGCCTCTCGGGTTCAAGCAATTCTCTGCCTCAGCCTCCCGAGTAGCTGGGATTACAGGTGCCTGCCACCACACCACCACACCTGGCTAATTTTTGTAATTTTAGTAAAGACAGGGTTTCACCATCTTGGCCAGGCTTGTCTAGAACTCCTGACCTCGTGATCCACCCTCCTCAGCCTCCCAAAGTGCTGGGATTACAGGCGTGAGCCACCGCGCCCGGCCAATTTTCATCACTTCTTATGAGGCCTCCTTGGGCTCTGGAAGTGTGACGTCTCTTCCTTCCTGATGCACTGAAATCCAAATGACGGTGCTGCCCTCTCAGAAATGCTCAATTCATGGGCTTCCTACAATGTGAAGCTTGGCTAAGGTAAATAAAATGCACAGATGCTAGAAAAGAGTTTTTAAAAAATATACAACAGAAACAAATCTGCCAGAATTTACCCAGCTGGCAAGTTAGAACTCTGATAAGCAGGCATTAATCATGGTAGATGAGTCGCTAAAGCCTAGATCTGTGCAACTGCATAGCTGCACCCCTGCACGTGTCTTGCTTTCTCATGTGAACATTTTGCTGTATATCTGGTTCCTGCAGAATGAGCATTAGTTACAGTGACTAGATGCTTTATAGAGAAGTTTGGGTAGCAATCACAGGGAAATAAATCATGTAAATTAATGAAATGTTGAAAAATAGAACTAGTATGTGGATACTAAGCAAAAAATCTCATGATAAAATATGTGAAGCCAAAGACTAAATTTGAATAATAAAGCAGAGGTAAAGTGGATTTATTAAAGATGTCAAGAACTAAAAACCTGACCACAGAGGCATGCCCAAATTGACGTTATTCTCATGTGACAAGAAATCCAGAGAAAAGACAGCCAGGACTGATATGGCAGCTTCATGATATCAACAGAAACCCAGGCAGGAGGAAAGGGCAAAGGCAGAAAGAGTATGCCACTGAAAACTATCCCTCTAGAAGCCTCACCTAGAAAATTCCACCTGCACTTGATTGGCAAGAACTGGGTCACACGGCTATACTAGCTGCAAAGGAACCTGGAAGTTGTTTTACCTGGGAGCATTGCTACCTCTTACAGTGAGTAAGGATGAAGGGCAGAAAAGATGGTGAGTAGGCAAGTAGCAATCTGCCATAGAGACATAAAGCCCAGGATACACAGGACATCTTGAATCTGGGTTCCTGGAGGTCAGTTTAAAGAGACGAAATGCTATTTCTAAGCCTTGGTGAATTTTTCCTGGCTCCTCATGTCCTCTGAGACACCATGCAGGAATCATGATAGATGATACCTTTACACCGTTCCATCTGGCCCACTTTACAGAACAGTGAAGAGAATGATTGGATTTTGCCTGAGAAAAGGGCAGTGCGTAATAGCGCCTGTCTTGGAAAAAATGAATAACATGCCGAACACCGGAAGAAAGGCATTTCTCTGTTAATTGTGAGGACCACTATGAACGTACTTGGGTTTGGCAAACATTTCAAACTTACTTTCTAGTTGGTCAGTAAAACCTGGAAGCCATCTCTGAAAAAGTAGCTGCTGTTTCATCTTCCGTGCTTACAAAGTGATTTGGCTCACATTCCTTCCTCTTAGTTTTAGTGAATGTTAACTTAATTCTTGCAAGGGGCTTCATCCTTGTCACACCTCATCAGTGATACTCTGGGAGCCAAGTCTACAACTGAGGGTCCCTGTCAATGTACAGGTAAATTAAGGGGGTTATCAGGTCAGCACTAACATTATCCTAATGTAAACATCCTGGGAATTCATAATTTGATAATTGTTCTTTTTCTAAAACCTTTGTTGATCCATGGCTTCTGGTGAGAGTATTTTTAAAAGAAAGGAAGAAAAAAAGAAGAAAAGAAAGAAGAAAGGAGGGGAGAGAGAGAGACAGAGAAAAGGGTAGGCAGAAATTTGCAGATTTTTCTGCCAATTTCGTCTGATTTACCCTTCTCCCTGCACTTCCTTCTTGTGCAATAGTTAAATCAGGTATAACATATAGTTTCTTTCGTAACATTTAAAAATTATCTTTGTATCCCCAATCTTAGTATAAATCCAGACAGGTTGTAGATCAGGGGTCCCCAACCCCCGGGGCCATGGACCCATACTGGTTGGTGGCCTGTTAGGTACTGGACCCCACAGCAGGAGGTGAGTGGCAGGCGAGCGAGCCTTACTGCCTGAGCTCTGCCTCCTGTCAGATCAGGGGCAGCATTAGATTCTCATAGGAGCACAAACCCTATTGTGAACTGCGTATGCAAGGGATCTAGGTTGTGCATTCCTTATCATAATCTAATGATAAATGTAGTGTGCTTGAAACAGTCTGAAACCATCACCCACCTCTCTGCAGTCCACGGAAAAATTGTCTTCCAGGAAACCAGTCCCTGGTGCCAAAAAGATTGGGGACCGCTGTTTTAGATGATCTAAGAAGGCGTGCCTACTAAACGAAGCCCATATCTGCTGGCTTTTGCAGCATGGGCTACTGGCTTTTGCGCAAGGTGTCTCTTTGCCTGGAATTCCCTCCCGCAGGGTCCCATCCTTTCTAAATCCAAACTGCATTCAAAGAAAGGGCTAAGTCTGCTCCTTTCAACTGGAGAGTTCCTTTTCTACTAACAGCACAATTTTTATATTATTTGGCTACAAATGATGGAAACCTCACACTCTCTGAAGTCAAAAAAGTAATTTATACAGGGATTTATTGACATGTGATGAAAAACTCTAGCAGTGGCTGGACCCAAAGGTTCTGGTTGTATTGAGGATGTGCTGTCTTCTCTCCAACTTCACCTGTGCACGAACGCTGACTGCTGTGGGCAGGCCCCAGCAGCTCCAGGCTCCACCTTCAGTGAACTTGGATCCAGGGACTGAAGATGTCTCTTCTTTGTTTGCTCCCTAACAGTTTTAGAGTTGATTCTCATTGTCTCTCCTTGACTTGGCTTGCGTCCTACGTTGACTCTTTGCCTCTTGAACTAATCACTGCTACTACTGTGTGTGCATCTGCGTGTTCCTGTGTCTGTGTATGAGTCTGTGTGTGATGTTCTGTTTGGTGTCACCTTGCTCTCACATCTGCCCTAAAACTTGTTTAGTGGCAGTTATCCCTTAACCAGATGAACTGAGAGTAAGAGAAGGATGGTTTTCCAAAGACCAGTTGGAGTTATCTTCTAAAATGGGTACCAGGCAGCAACTACAGCAATGTTCATGTTATGGCACCACTTGGCTTACACCATGTATTATAAATCTCTGTCTAGTTTGATTATCCTTCTGCCCAGAATTTAATTCTTTGAGGTTAGCTTTTGTGTCCCATTGAACTTTGTTTCCTACCGAGTGCTAAGCAGAGTGCACTGAATACTATGCACTTAACTGAATGACAGGTCCAAGCATTGCTATTGAGACTACACTATGGAATTATGGAAAAGATTAGACTTCAGATTTAGAGGTCTTGGTGTAAGGCACTCCTCTCAGTATCAAAGTTCCATTTCCATGTTAATGGTGTAGAGGGTGTGGCTCAGGTGACAGATGTGGGAACCAAAGCCAACAGGATCAATAATGTCAGAGAGGAAGTCAAGGCAGGGGTTTCTTATTCAGATTTTTCCTTGTGAGAACATCCCATAAGGGGCTGTAACTGGCTTTAAGAAGTCTCCTATTTTTCTTCCAGTTGGGGGATAAAGGAGCTGTCAGATGGTTAAGCTAAGGCATCCAAGACACAATGATACTTTACAGGCAAGTGGACAATATTTTTAACAACATGCAAAACCAAATGGCCCTTGAGTTCATGTGTAAGTCAAGCTTAAGAAGCCTTGCATTTGCATTTCAAAACAGTAAGAGGTTTCTCTTCAGAAATCACCTTTTTAGCTGTTGCAGGAACCAAGGACAGCGGGGTCTACAAAAGAACTGATTCCACCATAAGAGGATTGACTTTCTGTCCGTGTCTCTGCCTCTCATCTCCAGTTTGTCATCACTTAGCTCTGAGCCATCCACAAGTGCCATTACAATCCAAGATGGCAGGCAGTCAGTCTGTTTTCCTTGATGAACTCCATGGCTGTATATCCTGGTAGTGACCTCCCTTCTCTAGTTAAGGACAACCAAATGTAAGTGGAAGAAACCCAACTAATTAACAGTCAACCCGAAGAAAGCTTAAAAAGGGTCCAAATCAACACTCATGGTTCAGCCCCGTCTCTCAGGACCACATGTGGTACTTCTGCAGCAGACAGATGCATGTGACCAAAAGCTCAGAGTGTTCACCAATGAATAATTCTGCTGCTGATTCTGGAAGGGAAACTGCGTCTATCCAATAAGCATGCTATTAGGTTCCAGCATTATGAAAGTGTATTCAAAGACAGGCTATAAAGCCATGGGAATAAGACACTCAGAGCATTGAGACAAGAACAATGCCTTAAAGTAGTAGGAATGAGCAGAGCTCTGGAGGTAGACATCCTGGATCCAGACCCCAGGTCCATCATGTACAGGCTTTGCATCCTTGGACAAGGTACTTAACCTTTCTGAGTCTCTATTTCATCAACTTTAATTAAGGATAATCATAGCATTTATCTTATATCGTGGTTTTGAACCAAATGAGATGATGTATGTAGGATGATAGAGTTACTCTTTTAAAAAACACAGATTTGAGGGGGAAGCACACGTATATAACGTGATTATAATGCAATTTGATGACAAAACATAAATAGTAGTAAAAACATGAAAGAGAATGAAAATAGCTTTGGGAGAAGGAGCTGGGGAAGGCTTCTAAGGAGGGCACCATTTCACTGGGTATTGTATTATTACCAGGAATTCTCCAAGGACAGAAAGGGAAGGAGGGGACTGTAGACAGGATTTACAGTGTGTGCAAAGGCACGGTGGCTCAGGAGCACATTATGTGTCTTGGAAGAAGGTCAATGTACAGCTGGAGCTTAGAAAGCATAAAAGAGCATGTCTGGAGATGCTGCTTGTAAAATGGGTTTAGACCATATTAGAAGAGACCATGTCTAATAAAAAGGAGGTTAAACTGTGTCCTCTGGGGAGCCAGAGAGTTTTAATACAGGGTTATACACTGACTCCATTTTTTAATTAAAGGACAACCCTACTCTCTATGTGAAGAATAGACTCAAGAGGAGAGACAGTGGAGGCAGGGGGATGATTTAAGTGGCTATTGCAATAATCCAGGCAAGATACAATGGCAGGAGGTGAATAGTTTCAGGAGATGTTAGCAGACAGAACCATGTGACCGGGTGGATGGGCAGGTAGGATATTGGAGAAGTTAAAACAAAACCTTTGAAGTAAAATAAAAAATTCTGTTTTAGACTTTGGTTTTGCCAGTTGTTAATCATGTGTGTATATATTACTCTCCCCACTAATGCCATTTCTGAATGTCTAAACTAGAGATAACTTTAGTGGTCCTTTCTCAAGATCACCAATAAGAGAGTATATGAGCACAGTGCCAGGTACAGGGACATCACTCAGCAAACGTTACCTGCTGTTACCACCAATTTTATCACTGTTGTCATTATTATTATAATCCAGTGACCATGGCTGAGGAGAGAGAACAGATGGAAGTTGAGTCTCTAGTTCTCCCACTACTGGTGAAGCTGTCTCCCAGGATGCTATGGCTTGACATTGACCAACCCAAATATCTTCACTTCTTTCTTACCGCTGACTTCCCAGTGTCTGCCAGATTCTTCCAGGGGCAAATGGAGCTGTCCCTCCATGTGGCTCTCATGATGCAGGTAGAATAAAAACTGTTCTTTGTTCACAAAATTGACAATCTGAGTTTGTCCCAGAAAAGGGAAGTGGCCAAATCACCAAGCCATAGGTAACCATGTCTTCTTCATCTGCTCTCTTTTACCCATAAACGGCAGATGGAACTGTTTGTTTCTCTATTGATTCCTCATCCACCCAATGGTCATCCCAGTCCACTCTTGTTTTCTCTCCTCTACGAGCTGCATCTCTCGGGTTCCTGGTTTTGTGTTTCTGGTTGGTTTCAGCCAGAGGAAAATACTAGCAGGATATTAACAGGTAAAAGAAAAGAGAGTAGGGAGCATCGTATTAGACTTTTCTCTACTGCTATAAAGAACTACCTGAGACTGGGCAGTTTATAAGTCAGGAAACAACAGGTGCTGGAGAGGATGTGGAGAAATAGGAACACTTTTACACTGTTGGTGGGACTGTAAACTAGTTCGACCATTGTGGAAGTCAGTGTGGCGATTCCTCAGGGATCTAGAACTAGAAATACCGTTTGACCCAGCCATCCCATTACTGGGTATATACCCAAAGGATTATAAATCATGCTGCTATAAAGACACATGCACACGTATGTTTATTGCGGCACTATTCACAATAGCAAAGACTTGGAACCAACCCAAATGTCCAACAATGACAGACTAGATTAAGAAAATGTGGCACATATACACCATGGAATACTATGCAGACATAAAAAATGATGAGTTTATGTCCTTTGTAGGGACATGGATGAAGCTGGAAACCATCATTCTCAGCAAACTATTGCAAGGACAAAAAACCAAACACCGCATGTTCTCACTCATAGGTGGGAATTGAACAATGAGAACACATGGACACAGGAAGGGGAACATCACACACCGGGGCCTGTTGTGGGGTAGGGGGGAGGGGAGAGGGATGGCATTAGGAGATATACCTAATGCTAAATGACGAGTTAATGGGTGCAGCACACCAACATGGCACATGTATACATATGTAACAAACCTGCATGTTGTGCACATGTACCCTAAAACTTAAAGTATAATAATAATAATAAAGAAAAAAGGTTTAATTGACTCACAGTTCCACAGGCCATATGTGAAGCATGGCTGGGAGGCCCCAGGAAACTTACAATCATGTCGGAAGGGCAAAGAAAAAGGAAGCATGTCTTACCATGGCAGAGGAGGAGAGAGAAAGAGAGTGAAGAGGGAGGTGCCACACACTTGCAAACAACCAGATCTCATGAGAACTCACTCACTATCATGAGAACAGCAAGGCGGATGTCTGATCCCATGATTCAATCACCCCTCAGCAGGTCTCCCCTCCAACACTGGGGATTACAATTTGACATGAGATTGGGGTGGGGACACGGATCCAAACCATATCAGGCATGGATTCCCCACTTCCTCCCTGGTGCATTGCCTGATCTTGGACAGAAGCTGTGCTTCTCCATGGTTAGAGAAACACCTACCCACGGGCACTTCCTCCAGGCCTCCAGCTCTGATGAGCCTCTGATAATATCGTACTCTCCCCTGTCCTTTCAGACACAAAGGAGACAGCTCCTCTAGTCTCTGGTGCCTCAACGTCCCCTCTTGGGTCTTACATGGTGCCCACATCTCTGTAAATAGTCCCTCCACTAAATTTTCCTCTATTCCCTAGCTGAGTGTCTCTTCTCTTCTCTGCTGAGTTCTTGACTGCAACAACAATAAAAGGAGCAAAAGTCTCAGCTGGGCTACTAATCTTTGGGTGTAAGTCCTCCCTCTCCACTGCAAAGGATATAAAAAATTTAAACAATAAAAAATGGTGTTGGCCTTTCACAAGCTAGCATTTGCCTATATCAGAGTGGGCAGAGGTTTTTTTTTTTTTGTCTTTTAGATAGAGTTTAAGTTCACTGATAATGATACCATAAGACACAAGCTAAATTTGTTAAGATTTGCTGCTTTTTCTAAGAAAAGACCGTCTCAAATGGTTTAATCAGATGTGTCTGGTCTGATAAGGATAATTACACAGTGAGACTGTGGGCATCACACAGAGAGAGAAATAGATCTGTAAAAACCGCTAATGAAACTTGGACCTAAGGGGATTTGAACTCACAACCTGACAGCTAGGAATTAAATAGTCCAGGAAATTGGCAGTGGGCTAAACAATGGAATTCAGACGGGGCCCCTAGCAGGTGCTAAATTATTTCCCTGAGCAGGCTCATATTCGGCCGATGCGCCGAAGACAGGGAAGGAACACACACGTAAATCAGCTCTTGATTTCTGACACGGTTTCACCCAGTTGAAGTGGAGAGAGATGACACTCAGCTCACGGGGTGGTATCCAAGACCCATTGAACCTTGGATGTCAGAGCTGGAAGGCATCTCAGAAACCTCAGTCTCCACTCTCTCCATTATACAGAAAAAGAAAAGGCATTTTTCTCAATTACCAAGAAAAATCCTAAGGCTAGCTTTTGCTGAACTAGATTTGGAACATCACATGCTTCCAGAATAAGCACATCAGGGCTCTGTGCTCAGCGGGTTGTAATGGCACCAGGAACACTTCTTCCCTCCTCCCTGAAGGTCTCTGTGACTTTCCCTTCACCTTGGCTCATGGTGAGACCCTGCTTGACTAATGTTCCAGGATGGCTCAGCACTGCACCTGGAAATGAGGGCAGAGTGAGGCCTGGTAATCGCTGGACTTTCATGAGAGGAGCCTGTCTGCAGTGAAAATATCAAGAAAGCATTTGTTTTGTGCAGTCTTCAGGTTTAGAAAATCTTTCCTCTTCTGCGATGATTTCTTTGGACACACTTAACAATGAGTCATGCAAATTCAGTCACTGATCTCTCCAACGTTTATGGAGCTCAGAGAACTTCCCAGGAGTTGTTCTAGGTACTGATGCTATGCAGGTAATGAGACAGACAGAGCCTTTCTCTCCTGAAGCTTCCATTCCAGTGAGCAAGACAGACCATAATAAGATGCGTTCCATTTCAGATGGGAATACTTATTTTGAACAATGACAAAAGTGTGCCAAGAGGAATTCTAGAGAAGTGGCCAGGAGCAAGGCTCTGTGTTCAAGTTAGTGTTTCTGAATTTTAAGGGATGTAAATATTTGGAATTCAGAGAAGAAAAGGAAATTCCCGGGAATTCTCAAGGATTCATGAAATCATGGGTTATTCGTAAAACATTTTTAATGTTTTTCATATTTTTTACTCACTTTTATCCATGTATAACAGATCAGAAATATTCAGTTAAGTTGCATTTACAAATATCTGTAGCCTATAGTGAACAGGCAAACACTGTAAAACACCAGCACGCATTCAAACACAGTAAAACATCAGTTTCTAGAAAACATCCGATTAGGATTTCATATTAAGATTAGCAGTGATGCATAGAAGCATAGAACTGGGTGTCAAAATTGCCAATTTAGGGACTTACTTGCTTCCAAGGTGTGTTATTTTTGATACATCCTTCCTGGAGTGTGTATAAAGTATACTATGACTGCAAGTGTATTAGCTTTTCTTTTATCAGCAACAATGACTCACTTTTGGCAGCAGACAGAGCCACCAGCAGACATCATAGTACGGCCACAACTACAATCAAGACTGACCCATGAAATCATACGGGTTCTACTTCTACGTGCTCCTGTCCCAGTGACCCCAAATGTTAACTTTGATGCTGGATGCCCTTCTCTGTGTTCCCTGTGCTTGTGTATTCCCGTGATGTCCGTGGATTCTTCTGATCTAGACACATCTCTGTGGATAGTTAAGGTTTCATTCACACTTGAGAACTGCCACACATCTCCTCAATTTCTCCACTGATTATTTCCAGGATTGGAGATTTGAAAAAGCGGATAAGGTCCTTGAGAAATGTCAGGAAGGGATTCCTGCATAGGAACATGAACTCAGGCTGCCGGGATCTGAGTAGCAGCTGTGACATCTATTAGAACACACCCGCTTTGTGATGATGGGCTTGTTACCTACCTCTGTGTGACTGTTCTCTCATCCATGAGATGGCATCATAATTAGCACATGTGGCATGAGACTGCAGTAGATTAAATTCTCTAATGTATATAAATGAGTTCTAACTGCATTGGGCATCCAGTTAGCGCTCAAAAAAATGTTAGCTCCTATTAAAAAGTTTGCATTCGGGAGAGCCAAATACCACATGACGATGACCAGGGATGGATCTCTGAAGACAGAGTGCTATATATGACATGTTTCTTATGTGTTTCTATGTGTGTGTGTGATTAGTCCTTATGCAATTCAGTTAGTTAATGGCTTAAGGGGATCATCAAGAACTTTTTTTTTCCCACTGGGGCACTGATGGGCACCTTCATTTACAGATGACTGTGGATTTAAAGGCAATCCAGACTGCCAGAGACAGAGAAGCCAAAGTGCATCTGGGAAGCAAATGTGTGACTGCACATCACTGGACATCAAGTGTGGATTATGTGGGTTATGCTGATACTGGCAGCCAGAGGTGGACTTTAGTGACCCTTGACATGGGTATAGGTTCCCAGTATGGGTTAGAATAATGGCGGAGCTGGAAGTTTTAATGCTACTCTGCTGATAAGGGTTGAGGGTGGTGGGGACCACAGTCAACATGAACTAGAAAGAGTAGAGGTGCAGAAGGAATGAGCTGGGTGGAGGAGGGGAAGAATAGAAAAATCCACCACAGAGGCTTGCAGCTCAAGAGATCTTACCCAGGGTGAAAGTCTTAGTCCAGAAAGATGACAAGAGCCAGGAGAAGGACCCAGAAAGGGGACTCTGGGAACCAAGCCCAGGTATACAATTGTACCTGAGAATCTCAGGGGATGCAGATGGCAAAGAACAGGAGTAGAAATGTGGACTGAGAAACCAGACGGAAAGGCTCTGCTAGCCCAGCCACCTAAGAGGGGAGAGGAAGGGTTTAGTTTGTAGAAAGATGAAGATGGACTGGTATGAAAAACTAAAGAAGACAAAGAGAGCCCAGGAAAACAAGACAGATTATTTTTCCTTGTATCACATGAATAGACTGATCTAGGATCTCATCATTGTTTTGACTTATTCATCTTCTTACAGGTCTTCACATCAAACTGGAAGACTAGAGAAGCTGAACATATGAGTGAGCTCAGCTAAGAGACCAAGGAAAGAGGAGAAAAGAGGAACCAAGTGATAGGTGATTGAAAGATATGACTAGGCGGGAAGGTAGGTAGAGAGGTGGGTGGGTGGGTGGGTGGATAGATGGATGGATGGACGGGCGGACTGATGGATGGATGGGATAGCTAATTAGTAGATAGATAATCAGCAGGTACATAGATAGAGAAATAGCCATATGGGTACACACATGCATGAACACTGTTACCAAATACGGATAAGTTCAGGAAGACTAAGAAAGAACAAGGAGACATTCTAGGAATTCCACAAAGGTTATCTCCTTTGATGATTGAAAATCGTAGGGGATAGGTATTATTATCTCATGTTACACATTTTAAAAATTGGGCAAAAAGATTTAAGTAACTCACTCAAGGCCACAGAGCCAACAGGCTGTGAGCTGTGATTTGAGTAAGTTCTAAATAATAGAAAAACCCAGGCTTTTCTACTGTAAGAAAAGTCCTTAGACAGGAATGGTGGGAGAGAAGGGGAGAAATAAACAAACTGAGGCAGAGTGAATCTTTGGGGTAAGATTATTAAAGGCGCTTCTTGTTCTGAAGTTATTGACGAAAGGGAGTGTCGGGGATGTGGAATAAAGACGCACTTAGGAAGCACACTGCATTGGAAGAGACGCTCAGGGAAACACAGAGACAGGCAGATAGACTGAGTCAGAGATAGGAACACAAAAAGAGACGCTCAAAGGTATCCTGAAGAAAGGAGTATGGCTTGATTTTCACCTTAGACTCAGCAAGGAGTTTTAGAAATTGAAATAGTATTACAGACAAAAAAAAATTGTTACAATCTGAGTTCTAATTTTCACATATGTAAGATAAAAATTCCACAGTGCTTAGGACAGGATTTTACCACTGCTCCTACAAGGACATTATTATCAAAGCTATGTAGTTAACAAACACTATTCACACTACCACTCTGACAGCCCTCTGACTATTGTGGGGGGAGAAGTATAACTACCCAATTAATTTCACAATGGCACTAAATATTCCTCTTTGTTATACAGAAATTGCTTGCACAAACAAGGCTCTGGCAATTAAGTTTTGGCTACCCTTGGGATATGGTAGTAAATAATTATTTTGTCTAATTAATAATTTCAAATTGATTACAAACGAGACTTTGAGAATGGGAGGTTGAGGCAATAGAGAATTAACCCATTGGATTCCAAGCCTTTCAAGTAATAAGACTTGTCTTCCATACGCAGGCCAGTCTCGTGTCTCCCACTGCTTGTATGAGAAGGGCAAAGAGAGAGGTAGGTTCTTTTGCCTGAGACTCAATGAACCCAGCCTGGGAGTCCTCGGAGCCCACAATAAACTCCAGAGATTTCAAACTGACCCTAACATTTGAAAGTCTTAAAGAATCTGATCCAAGGGACACACACAGGAAAACTGAATCTAGACAGCATCACTTGTTTCCAAGACAGTCTATCAGATTGTTCTGGAGAAGAGCGCTGAACCTACACAGTGCTGTCCAGAATCAAACTCTGCTTTTCTCTCTTATGAGCTTCTGAATAAGTGTATCTACTTAGAAGATGCAGGAACTGTGTGAAGTTGCACAACATCTTGGAGCCTCATTTCCTTATTTTATTTTATTTATTTTTTTTGAGCATTCATGAGTGCCATTTTATTTTGGGTCTCCAGAAATACTGACAGATGTAGCAATAATCATTATCTTTAAACTTCACATTCACAGGTAAGCCTATCTCAGCTTTCCATATGGCAAAAAACATAAGCAACCCAAAACAGCCTGTGTCCTGGGATCCCTGTCCTATTTATTTATTTATTTATTTATTTATTTATGTATTATTATTATTATTATTATACTTTAAGTTTTAGGGTACATGTGCACAACATGCAGGTTTGTTACATATGTATACATGTGCCATGTTGGTGTGCTGCACCCATTAACTCGTCATTTAGCATTAGGTATATCTCCTAATGCCATCCCTCCCCGCTCCCCCCACCCCACAACAGGCCCCGATGTGTGATGTTCCCCTTCCTGTGTCCATGTGTTCTCATTGTTCAATTCCCACCTATGAGTGAGAACATGCGGTGTTCGGTTTTTTGTCCTTGCAATAGTTTGCTGAGAATGATGGTTTCCAGCTTCATCCATGTCCCTACAAAGGACATAAACTCATCATTTTTTATGGCTGCATAGTATTCCATGGTGTATATGTGCCACATTTTCTTAATCCAGTCTATCATTGTTGGACATTTGGCTTGGTTCCAAGTCTTTGCTATTGTGAATAGTGCCGCAATAAACATACGTGTGCATGTGTCTTTATAGCAGCATGATTTATAGTCCTTTGGGTATACACCCAGTAATGGGATGGCTGGGTCAAACGGTATTTCTAGTTCTAGATCCTTGAGGAATCGCCACACTGACTTCCACAATGGTTGAACTAGTTTACAGTCCCACCAACAGTGTAAAAGTGTTCCTATTTCTCCACATCCTCTCCAGCACCTCTTGTTTCCTGACTTTTTAATGATTGCCATTCTCACTGGTGTGAGATGGTATCTCATTGTGGTTTTGATTTGCATTTCTCTGATGGCCAGTGATGATGAGCATTTTTTCATGTGTCTTTTGGCTGCATAAATATTTTCTTTTGAGAAGTGTCTGTTCATATCCTTCGCCCACTTTTTGATGGGGTTGTTTTTTTCTTGTAAATTTATTTAAGTTCATTGTAGATTCTGGATATTAGCCCTTTGTCAGATGAGTAGGTTGCAAAAATTTTCTCCCATTTTGTAGGTTGCCTGTTCACTCTGATGGTAGTTTCTTTTGCTGTGCAGAAGCTCTTGAGTTTTATTAGATCCCATTTGTCAATTTTGGCTTTTGTTGCCATTGCTTTTGGTGTTTTAGACATGAAGTCCTTGCCCATGCCTATGTCCTGAATAGTAATGCCTAGGTTTTCTTCTAGGGTTTTTATGGTTTTAGGTTTAACATTTAAATCTTTAATCCATCTTGAATTAATTTTTGTATAAGGTGTAAGGAAGGGATCCAGTTTCAGCTTCCTACATATGGCTAGCCAGTTTTCCCAGCACCATTTATTAAATAGGGAATCCTTTCCTCATTGCTTGTTTTTCTCGGGTTTGTCAAAGATCAGATAGTTGTAGATATGCGGCGTTATATCTGAGGGCTCTGTTCTGTTCCATTGATCTATATCTCTGTTTTGGTACCAGTACCATGTTGTTTTGGTTACTGTAGCCTTGTAGTATAGTTTGAAGTCAGGTAGCATGATGCCTCCAGCTTTGTTCTTTTGGCTTAGGATTGACTTGGCAATGCGGGCTCTTTTTTGGTTCCATATGAACTTTAAAGTAGTTTTTTCCAATTCTGTGAAGAAGGCATTGGTAGCTTGATGGGGATGGCATTGAATCTATTAATTACCTTGGGCAGTATGGGCATTTTCACGATATTGATTCTTCCTACCCATGAGCATGGAATGTTCTTCCATTTGTTTGTATCCTCTTTTATTTCATTGAGCAGTGAGTTGTAGTTCTCCTTGAAGAGGCCCTTCACGTCCCTTGTAATTTGGATTCCTAAGTATTTTATTCTCTTTGAAGCAATAAAATTCAACAACCCTTCATGCTAAAAACTCTTGATAAATTAAGTATTGATGGGACGTATCTCAAAATAATAAGAGCTAGCTATGACAAACCCACAGCCAATATCATATTGAATGGACAAAAACTGGAAGCATTCCCTTTGAAAACTGGCACAAGACAGGGATGCCCTCTCTCACCACTCCTATTCAACATAGTGTTGGAAGTTCTGGCCAGGGCAATTAGGCAGGAGAAGGAAATAAAGGGTATTCAATTAGGAAAAGAGGAAGTCAAATTGTCCCTGTTTGCAGATGACATGATTGTATATCAGAAAACCCCATTGTCTCAGTCCAAAATCTCCTTAAGCTGATAAGCAACTTCAGCAAAGTCTCAGGATACAAAGTCAATGTACAAAAATCACAAGCATTCTTATACACCAATAACAGACAAACAGAGAGCCCAAATCATGAGTGAACTCCTTATTTTATTTTATGAGACAGTCTTGCTCTGTCACCCAGGCTGGAGTGCAGTGGAGCTATCTCAGCTCACTGTAACCTCTGCCTCCCAGGTTCAGGTGATTTTTGTGCCTCAGCCTCCCACGTAGCTGGGATCACAGTCACGTACCACCACACCCAGCTAATTTTTGTATTTTTAGTAGAGATGGGGTTTCACCACGTTGGCCAGGCTGGTGTCGAATTCCTGACCTCAAGTGATCCACCTGCCTCAGCCTCCCAAAGTGCTAGGATTACAGGCATGAGCCATTGCACCTGGCCCTCATTTCCTCATTTTAAAGTGGAGACATTCATAATATCTACGGCACAGGATTAATGTAAAGGGTGTTTGAGACAATGCAAGTAAATTGCGTGGCACATTCCTTAGCACATAACAAGCAAGAAGAAGTCATCACTATAGATTTATTATTGATAATGCTTTTGTTATTGTTATCATTATTTTCTGCAGATTCATTCCAAATAAATGACAAAGAAGAATGTTTCTGCTCTCTCATGCAGGTCACTAGAAAGTTGGTGTTACACGGAGAACTGGTATAACAGTGGCTGGTAGATTTTTCCTTTTTTTTTTTTTTTTTTTTTTTTTTTTTTTTTTTTTTTTTTTTTAGAGATGTGGTCTCACTCTGTCACACAGGCTGGAGTGCAGGGAGTGGCACGATCATGGCTCACTGCAGCCTTGAACTCCTGGGCTAAAGCAATCCTCCCCGCCCCCGTCCTAAGCCTCTCAAGTAGCTGGGGCCACAGGCACGCACTACTGTGCCTGGCAACTTTTCCTTTTTAAATAACAATTATTTTAGCTAAGCCTCAATTAATCATTGCTCCTCATAACAACTGTTATGAATCCTCTATCACCTATAATAACACTTGCCAATAATGTTCACTCATTAGCTCATTCACTTAACACACACTTATTAGGTACATTCCCTGGAGAAGACACTGTTCGACAGGCACTTCAGGCTCCAAGAGGGAACAGCACACAGTCTTCTGACTATGATGAATGACTTGCAGTTTCCCATTCACTCTGCTCATTGCTTACTTGTTCTCATGTATTATTTCCTTAGGCTTGAATGCTCTTTCCATCCTTCCCCTGTAGCTTGTTTCCGGAGCTCATCTTCATCCTTCAACACTCAGCTTCAACGTCACCATCTCCAGGAAGACTATGCAGATATATCCAGGTTTGCATGAACAGAGTAAGTTCTCCAAGGTGTCTATTGACCTACTCTGCACTGCTGTAATTATTTACATCTCCCCTTTTGGTTGGATGAATAGTCCTTAAAAGGCAGGAACAGTCCCTCAGAGCTGAATCTGTGATCTGACACACGGTAGGTGCCTAATAAAAATATACGTCAAATGAATAACAGAATAAAATTTAAAATATGCATCTGTAATTAAAGTCCAACAGATAAAATAAGTACTGTTTTTGTAAGTGCTTGCAAGAAACAGACACTAATGCAACTCTGGCTTAGACCAAAGAATAGTAATTTGTTGGATTATATGACTGGGAAATTCAAAGGGTGGGTCTGGATCCAAACATGGTTGAATCCAGGATTGAAACTTTATCATCAGGACATATTCTTGGCTCTGCTTTTCTCTATCTCAATTTCCAAGCAGACTCTCAAAGATGGTGAAAGGAAGCTGGGGGCTTAAGAGAAACCAGTTCCAGGTCCCCACTGGAAAGATGGGTGGCTTCCCTATAGCTCCAGCCAATGTCCTGGGATGGAATTTCATTGGCCATGCTTGAGTCACATGACCATCCCTGACCAATCACTGTGGCCAAGAGGTTGAGCATTCTGATTGGCTGGGGCTGGGTGACATCACTTGCACCTGCTACTGTGGTGGAACCCAGAGGAGATTAAAAGGGAGGAGGCTCCTCTGCACCCTCGGGTATCACAGGAATTTGGGATGATGACAGAGCAGACATGCCAAGGTCAAGTCATTTGAATTTGGCTTGAAAACCAGAAAGAATTTAGGCATGTGGGGACACTCTGTGTGGGAAGGCATGGCAGAATGACCTGTTCTGTGCTTGAACAGCTGTAATGGACTAAATGTTTGGAAATACAGGTTAGATCCAGGTCCCAAAGGGCCCTGATTGCTAGGCAGCAGGATTCCAATTTGCTCAGAAGGCAATGGAAGGCCACTGAAGCTTTTCACTCGGAAGGAGGCAAGCCCAGAACCGCGCTTTAGAGGGATTAATCAAGCAGCTGTGTGTAAAATACCCTGGGTAAATGTCCGAAAAGCATTTCAATAGCCTAGGTAACAGATAACGAAGCTCTCAATGTGCTGAGAAGAGCACACACGTGACACTTGGATTCAGGAACAGCTGAGGACAGAATTGACACTCCTGAAATATATTTTTCTACCCAGGCCAGCTCCTCCACTTCAGCCACTCTGCATCTGAGGCTGGCATTTAGTAGATAAAGCAAAGACATTTTCAAGGGCTATCATTACTGTGCATTACACAAAGCTTTGTGTGTGTGTGTGTGTGTTTTCTCCCCTGGCTTCTGACTCGGAGGAGTGGCTTTTTTCTTTCTGTTGCAGAAAGAAGAGGGGTGGTGAGCAAAGAAATGAGCTCCATCTCTATCTGTAGACTCTGACCCTGGCTGATTCCTTTGTGCACTGTGACAAATGGAGACACAGAAGATGGAAAACCACATTCCTAATTTCTTTCCCTGACAGACACCTATTAGCATTCTGTATTGCAAAGAAGACCTGAAAGACGTGGATGCAAATATCATCAAGGCAGCATCTCTGCATCCACAGGAAGACAATTAAACACACACAAGTTGCCTACACCTCCAGCCTCAGACAAGCTCCAAGGGCTGCCTTGAAGTCCTTCAGTCAATAAGATTTTTTTTTTTGTTTTACCTTTTTGTATCCTCAAAATAAAAGTCACAAGACATTAATAAAAAAGCAAGTTGATCCATAAATAGTTCCCCAGTTTTATCTCAGTGATTATACTTTTTCCTCTTGATGCCTCCAGTGGCCTCCTCTTTCTGTCTCTCTACTTCGTAAGATATTTTACACAAGATACTTTGAAAACAACTCTTCCCTCTGACAGCCATATATTTCTAAGTGCTCCAAGCTGAAGGTGTTGGTGCCTTTTATTTTGCTTCATTTTTATGATTTGATAAATCAATTTTAATGTCATGTTTTTAAAATCAGGCTTCTTCCAGATGGAAACAGATGTTTTGGTTTCTTGACACTGCTTGTTTTCATATGGCATTCTCTGAAGGAAGCCAAGTGGTAATGACAGGTGGAGTGACAGACACTCTGTCTCCTACACTGTGCCCCAAACCTGCACATCACCTAAGACATTAAAGCAACAACAACAAAATAAATTTTTCTCTTTTCAACTTAATGAAGAAAACTGGTACCCAAACCAAGGACCTTCAGATCTAAGAGAAAGAGCACTGCTGTTTGCCTCAAAAGTCTCTACTACCTGCTCAATAAATCAGAAAGCAAGAGTGACGTTCTGTTTTCCGTTAGTGGAGCAGCCCTTTACTCACTCCTCGAATCAAGAGATGAAAAGTGTCTTCCATTTTTGGTTTTCACTCATGGTAGACATTTCTGGTTCTGACCCTTAAAACTTATTCATAGGATGCCAACTCTGTGATAACCTTTCTCAAGCTCTCAAGATGTGCCCCCCGTGTCACCTGGGAGCTTGTTAAAAATGCAAGTTCTCCATAACTACTGAATCAGAAATTCTGGAGGGGGGGCCAGCCATCTGTGTTTTACCAAGACCTTCAGGTGATATGGATGAATGTTAAATTTTGAGAACCTCTCCTATAGGGTAACTGAGAATTTTAAAATTAGAACATTCTAACAAGATAACACAATGTACAGTCCATCCATCACTCAAGCAATCACTGAGCCCCTGCTCTGTCTCAGGTATACGGCAGTGACCACCTCACCGGACCCAGAGAGTGGGAACCAGTAACTGGTCATTGCTGCCACTCTGGTGTGGCACTCCCTCTTTTATAAGGGAAAAAGGAGATTTTAGAAAACAGAATGGACAGACTTTAGCTTCTGTCCTTTAGTTTTGTCCTTTGTCGTCTCTGTTGAAGATTTAAACCACAGAGTCACCTTCAAAGTGAAATACAAAAAATATTTTGCATTGTGATACTAAGAAACTTGAAGTCAAAACCTTAGGTCTCTGTTGGATGCAAAGTTAACTTCTGTGAATTGCCTGCTCCTTTCCAAAGTCTGCACTGGGGGGTCATAATCCCCTTCAAGCCTTTGTAAGATATGCTGAGTGGAAAAGGTATTGACTATGTAATTTTCCAGAGGGATGAAATATGGCTGCCCGGCCTGTGTACAGTATGTGAATCAACCTAGAATCTATACATGGGGAGATACTGGACGGATCAATCTTTATTCCTAGGCAATCAAGCAGGGAATCATCTCCAGATCTCTCTATAGACAGCTCATAAAATGGGGTTCTAAATTTGTGGTGTGGACTATAAAAGCGATTTGTTTTGGGAGAACAGTCACATAAGATGAGCGCATTTGGATGATAAACTTCACAGACAATTCCCCTGGGCAACTGTGCAAGATTTTGTAGGAGGTTTCTTTGTAAAGTTACCAAGGCAGCTTCTAAGATTTTGTTTTTTTAAATTTTTGGTGTGGTCAGTTATGTTAGGCAACTGAGGAGACTGCCAACACGTGTAGTGTAGTTTATGTAAGAGAAACTCTGAGGTCCTCGGAATGATCATTTGTGAAGCCCTCCCTACTTTGCGCCAGGCATATACTAGGGGTTGGGCTTATGTTTCCTGATTTACTTCATCCTCCTGGTGATTCTCTGTGATGGGTACTTTTTCTTGTCCTTATTTTTCAGGTGAGGACATCGCTGCTTGCACAAATAAAGTGGCTGTATTGGTGTCTCCAAAACTCCCCATTGTTTAAGGGGGTTATAAATATTGTGCAAATCGTAAAGAGTTTCGGCATCATGTCTCATGACAACATGAAATTGACAACATGAAAATTATTTTTACAATTCTATAAACTGCTTCTGACATAAGAAATTGACATTTATGAAACTGGTTGCTCCTCCAAAGGCCTGAAAATGACCCACAAGTTGTCACAGCACCTTTTGTCCTTAGAAACACAGAGGAAGCTTGTCAGTTGTGAGAATTTTGAGGTAACCAGGATGGGCTATGCATAAGTCAATAAATAACCACAAAAGTTGGTCTGTGGAATAAGAGGAAAGAAAGAAGTAGAAGAGAGTAGAGATGACATCATGAGAACACAGAGAGGCTCAGATAGAGAAAATGGGTGCATGAGCATTTCTGGGATCTAGGAAAGCTGACCACATGTCTTTGACTCATGTTTATTATCTGGATCTTTGCTCTAAATCCCTCATGGCATAAGCAAGCAGAAGTGAGTTTCTCTTCCTTGCAATCAAATCCCACTTAATTAGGAATCCTAATTAGGCTCCAGGAAAAGCACCTCTTATTTTGTTGCACTTCACTTTATCGTGTTTTGTAGATATTACTTTTTTTTTTTTTTTAACAAATTGAAGGTTTATGGCAACCCTGCATTGAGCAAGTCTATCGGCTCCTTATTCCCAGCAACATGTGCTCACTTTGTGTCTCTGGCACATTTTGATAATTCATGCAATATTTTAAGTTATTATTATTACAGTATCTGTATGGTGATCATTGATCTTCTGTGTCACTGCAATTCTTTGGGGGCACTATGAACTGTGCCCATAAGATGAAGAACTTAATCAATAAATGTCATCTGTGTTCTGCCTGCTCCACCAACCAGCTGTTCCTCCATCCTTCTCCCTCTCCTCGGGCCTTCCTATTTCTGACAAACGACAGTAGTGAAATGAAACCAGTTACTGACCCTACAATGGCCTCTAAGTGTTCCAGGGAAAGGAAGGCTCCTCCATCTTTTACTTTAAATCAAAACTAGAAATGATTAACCTTCATGAGGAAGGCATGTCAAAAGAGGTGATAGGCCAAAATCTAGGCTTTTGTGTCAAATAGCTAACCAAGCTGTGAATGCAAAGGAGAAGTTTTTGAAGGAAACTAAAAGTGCCACACCAGTGAATACACAAATGATAAGAATGTGAAACAACCAACCTTATTGCTGACTGGAAAAAGATTTAAGTGGTTTGGACAGAAGATCAAACCAGCCACAACATTCCCTTAAGCCAAAGCCTACTCCAGAGCAAGGCCCTAACTCTCTTCAGTTCTGTGAATCTTAGAGAGGTGAGGAAGCTACGGAAGTTGGAAGTTGGCAGAGGTTGATTAATAAGGCTTAACAGAATCAACTGTCTCCATGACATAAAAGTGCAAAGTGAAGCAGCAAGTGCTGATGGAGATGCTGCAGCAAGTTATCCAGAAGATCTAGCTAAGACCACCAATGAAGATGGCTAAACTGAACTACAGATTTGCCATGGAGAGGAAACTGCCTTCTGTTGGAAGAAGATGCCATCTAGGAGCTTCACAGCTGGAGAGGAGAAGTCAATACCTGGCTTCAAAGCTTCAAGGGACATGCTGACTCCCTTGTTAGGGGCTAATGCCACTGGGGACTTCAAGTTGAGTTCATGTCCTTTGCAGGGACTTGGATGAAGCTGGAAACTATCATCCTCAGCAAACTAACACAGGAAGAGAAAACAAAACACCTCATGTTCTCACTCATAAGTGGGAGTTGAGCAATGAGAACACATGGACACAGAGGGGAACATCACATACTGGGGCCTGTCGTTGGGTTGGGGGGACGGGGAGGGAGAGAATTAGGATAAATACCTAATGCATGCGGGGCTTAAAACCTAGATGACGGGTTGATAGGTGCAGCAAACCACTATGGCAGGTGTATACCTATGTAACAAACCTGCATGTTCAGCACGTGTATCCCGGAACTTAAAGTAAAAAACAAACAAACAAAAAACAACCCCATCAAAAAGAGGACCTGTTTCATATGCATGAAAAAGGTGGTTTGTGGACATAGTTGAAATGACAACAAAGGATTTACAATATTGCTTCAACCTAGTTGATAAAACAACAGGTTTTGAGCGGATTCTTCAATTTTGAAAGACGTTCTACTGTGAGTAAAATGCTATCAAATAGCATCACATGCTACGGAGAAATCTTTCATGAAAACAAGAGTCAATCAATGTAGGACACTTCACTGTTGTCTTATTTTAAGACTTTTTTTTTTTTTGAGACAGAGTTTCACTCTTGTTGCCCAGCGCAGTGGCCTGATCTCGGCTCACTGCAACCTCCTCCTCTTGGGTTCAAGTGATTCTCCTGCCTCAGCCTCCTGAGCAGCTGGGATTACAGGCATGTGCCACCACGCCCGGCTAATTTTTGTATTTTTAGTAGAGAAGGGGTTTCACCATGTTGGTCAGGCTGGTCTCGAACTCCTGACCTCGTGATCCACCTGCCTCGGCCTCCCAAGGTGCTGAGATTACAGGCGTGAGCCACTGCGCCCAGCCAAGACTTTTAAGACATTGCCACAGTCAGCCTAACCTTCAGCTACCACCACCCGGATCAGTCAGCAGTCGTCCATGTCGGGTAAGACCTTCCAATAGCAAAACGATTAGGACCCACTGAAGGCTCATTAGCAGTTTTTGGCAATAAAGTGATTTTAGTTTTTGTTTTTTTTTTTTTTTTTTTTTTGAGACCAAGTCTTGCTCTTGTTGCCCAGACTGGAGTGCAGTGGCATGATCTCGGCTCACTGCAACCTCCACCTCCCAGGTTCAAGTGATCCTCTCGCCTCAGCCTTCTGAATAGCTGAGACTACAGGCACTCACCACCATGCCTGGCTAATTTTTTGTATTTTTAGTAGAGATGGGGTTTCGCTATATTGGCCAGGCTGGTCTCGAACCCCTGGCCTGCAGTGATCTGCCCGCCTCGGCCTCCCAAAATTCTGGGATTACATGTGTGAGCCACTGCACCTGGCCTGGTTTTAGTTATTTTTAGCTAAAGTATGTAATTGCTTTTCAGACATAACACTATTGCACACTTGATAAACTATAGAATAGTGTAAACATAACTTTTCTATGTACTGGAAAACCACACACAAAAAATTGTGTGATTCACTTTAGTATGGTGATCTGGAACTGAACCTGCAGTATCTCCGAGGCATGTCCATAGCAGATCTTTATTTATTCACATGCCTAGCAAAACACCTGGTACATAGTAGATGCTCAACAAAAACGTCCCAATGAGCAAATTCATTCATTAAATACACATTTTTGGAAACCACATTCTTGTATAACCAACAAACCAGGCATCTATGAACCCCTGAGCTGTGTTGTTTTTTGGAGACTTTCAACGGCATGGCTTGGGCTTTTAAACATGCAGTGACTGGCAAAGCAGATCACTGCCTTTCACCTGCTCCTTTCTGTAACCCTTCGCCTCCGAATAGTTCCAATATCTGCATTAATTCAGGTCAATGAGCAACACAGTCGGTTTCTGGGCACTAACCAATCTTTTCAAAGGCATGTGCATTGTCACAGGGGACTCGGGAACAGGAGTCTCCAAAACCACAGTAATATTTTTACTATTAATAAAGATGTATGCCCTTCTGCTCCCTCCTAACACATTACATATTTATCAATTTATTGAGTGCTTGCTCTGGGCCATGTACAATGGCACCCTAAGTACTTTATTACAATTAATTCTCACATCAACCCATTAACTGGGTGAAGTCATTGTAATGATTCTCAGCTGAGGGTTGAAGAAACCCAAACTCAGAGGTGAGCTATTTTGCCCAAGTTCACAGACCACAAGTAGGATCACTGGTGCTCAAAGGAAGTTCACAACATCGCAGTCTGCAGGCTTGACTTCCAGCCCAGTGTTCTTCTGCTGGGACTAAATCTGCTGTCCCTGACTGACTGACTGTCAGAAGTTGACAAGACCCAGTGACAGAGCACTGAACTGCCAGCCTTCTCGTCCCTTCGCGTTGACAGCTGAATATCCCATTGACGTGGATGCTGTCATCATTAACTTATAGGCTACAGCGTGGGTGAACTGGGGGAGTGCAAAGGTGAGGGCTGAATCATGGGAGGGCTCTACATGTTCAGTCTGCCCACTCATCTTGTCCAATTCTGGTCTCTGATCATGATGCCAGCAGATATTTTCTGGAAGCGATGACATTGACCTCCAGAGGATGACAGCATATTCTACTTTCTAAGCATCTGAGAGAAGCAGAAAAAAAGTGAGTCCTGGATGCACAGAAGGCTGGGGCTTTGGCCAGGCTGCATGCCATAATCCACTCACTCTGAATATTTATCCAGGACCTACTGTGTGCCTGAGATGGCCTGCTAGATGCAGAGACACAAAGATGCATAAAAGTCCTACCGAAGCTTGAACTTTGAAGGGGTTAACAGAAAACACACAAGAGGACAAAAACTCTATGTATTACTATAAACTGGGCAATTGCTATCAAAAGCCACTGTGAGATAGAGAATAGCTGTAGGACATCCAGTAATCTAGGATGATCAGGAAAGTGACATGGAAATTGAGGCACAAAGAAGAAGTCAGACTCAGCTGAACACATAGTAGAGGTCCTGGTACTGGAAACAGCTGGATGTTTCTGGAACCACAAAGAAGGCCACTGTGGCCGGACCTTACTGGACCACAGTGAGAGCAGTGGGATACTGGACTTAGGCATTCCATCCTTGTGTGAATTTCATGCCTACAACTCTTCATGTAGCAGAATCTATAAAAAAGGGACTCCTTCCACAAACTGTTTCCTCAATCTATAAAAGATAGGAAGGACAGGTCTAAGAAACAGAGACAGAAAATAAAGGAGTCAGGTCTTCTTGAAAAAGAGAATGTGTTTTTAATCTGTCCAAGGCAATATTTCTTAAAGCAGTTGGATCCCATGCCACCTTATTAAAAACAAATATTTTGTTTTGCCTTCTTTTGTCTCTACAATGAAATCTGTAGATAATATAATAACCTGCTTACATAATTCAAAAGAGGTATAACTGCTTCATCGTATAATAATGAGTGAAAGGAAAGTGATTTATAACAAAGCAATGTGCATCCCACTCTGCAGGCGTCCAGCAGAGCTGCAGGACACAGTGAAGGGTCTGCACCGTGTAAAGACAGATGCTGTGAGCATGACCTGGTGTGCAGTGATGGAATATTCTGGAAAGTTGAACAACTTTTGAAAAAGTTCTAGACAAAGCAAAATACAATCTGACCTCGATTTAACCGGCAATTGCATTCCTTGACAATTTGACTGTATTAAAATTATGCAGAAATACTTCCTATTTATATAGAGAATGGAGTCAAGTTTTATGCTCACGTATTTGTAAGCGGGTGTTCCCTCTCCATCAGTATCCTGTGGGTGTTTGAGTACCATGTCGGGAAGCAGGACTGTGCTTTCTGTTGAATGGGACTGTCCTCCACACTGTGGGGGGTTTAGTATCCCTGCTTTCTGTCTGCTCATACCAGTTGGCAACACGCAGCAAATGTGGCAATCAAAAATAATGCCTCCGCCATGTTAATAAAATACCCCCAGGCATGTGTGTGTCCATCCACATGGGAATGTACACACGGTGGGAGGAAACATTCTGGACATTTGTAGGGCTATTGCCTTTGCTTGGAAATCACTATGCTGAGAAGTATTGCTGTCAGGGATCAGAATGAAGAAAGAGACAAGAGCAACTTCCCAAATTCTACAAAACCAAGTCATCCACAGCCATATTTAAATATCATTGCGGACCCACTGCACGTATGCCAAGTGACTCCCAACAGGCTTATCTCTGTCTGACATTGTTGGTGCCCCACACCTTCCTGAGGTCACAGAATTGCTTGCGTGTGCCGAGCCTGGGGTCAGGTCACTCAGACACTGATCTTCCCAACACTCCTTGGGTCCAGGGGATGGCCCCTAATGCCCAAGTTCACGCTGAGGCTCAAATTCTCTACATTAAGAAGGAGGACCCACCTGAGCCTGCCAAGTTGAAATACCATAAGGCGCGCTTTCTCCACCTCGACATTCTGGGAGAGAGATGTATTTGTGGTGGGGGCTGGAGTGCATTGTAGGATGCTCAGATCCATTAAATGGGGACCAGGCTTGACAATCTCCTGGCAGATAAAACCAATTAGGCAAAGTAAGCAAAGCTTAATCTCGCTTCAATCTCAAATGCCAGGGAAGCTTAACTCAGATTATTTCTTATAAATTCCTCCGATAATCACAAACAAAACTTACGCTGCCTTCCAGTATAAGATGATCAATTTCTACCAATCGTTTTTTGTCCAAAAACCCTGATTGTGACAACCAACTTTTATAAAGGATAAACAACTTCCTCGTTCTTGCTTGATAATCCATGCCTCTTAATCATTTTTGGTTTACGATCTCCTGGTTTCAGGACGGTGCTTTTCTATGCACAAGAACTTTAAAAATTAGTTTCATTTGATTTTATTTTTAACAGGGATGTTTAGTAGCATTCCTGGTCTTTACCCATGAGATGCCAGCAGCAACCCCGTCTCCTTGGTCGTGACAATGAAAAATGTCTCCAGACATTGCCGAAGTGACACAAGCTGAGAAACACAGTCGTAAGATGAGACGTTTGATTTCTTTTGAAAATAAGGTAAGCTGACTCTTCAGTTCCTTTAAGACCCCCCTCCTCATCCTGTGTTTTGTAAGCTCAGCATGTTGACATACACCGATCTCATCTAATGCTCTAGACCCAAAGGGAGAGGCCAACGGCAAGACCAATACACTAGGCATTTGTTAAAGTGTCCCTTTTGCTTTACTTGGTCTCCATGCTCTATTCCAAAACTATCTGCTCCTCTTAAACCTTGGTTTTAAGGCCTAAACTTAGAGAGAATCATGTTAAAAATAGACAAACAGGACTGGGTGCCGTGGCTCACACCTGTAATCCCAGCACTTTGGGAGGCCGAGGCGGGTGGATCACCAGGTCAGGAGATCGAGACCATCCTGGCTAACACGGTGAAACCCCGTCTCTACTAAAAATACAAAGAAATTAGCTGGGCGTGGTGGTGGGCACCTGTAGTCCCAGCTACTGGGGAGGCTGAGGCAGGAGAATGGCATGAACCTGGGAGGCGGAACTTGCAGTGAGCCAAGATCACACCATTGCACTCCAGCCTGGGCAATAGAGCAAGATTCCATTTCAAAAAAAAAATAAAATAAAATAGACACATACACACACACATATACAGAGAGAGAGAGAGAGACAGAGAGAGAGAGTCATGTGTTGTTTAATGACGGGGACATGTTATATGTGTCCTCAGGCAATTTCATTGTTGTGTGAACATCATAGAGTGGACTTACACGAACCAAGATAGTCATGTCTACCACACACCTAGCCTATGGCTCCTGGGCTACAAGTCTGTACCACACATTACTGTACTGAATACAGTAGGCAACACAATGATAAGTACTTGTCTATCTAAACATGTCTAAACATAGAAAAGTTACAGTAAAAATATGGTATAAAAGATCTTTAAAAGGTGCGCCTGTATAGGCCACTTACCATGAATAAATCTTGCAGGTCTGGAAGTTTCTCTGGGTGAGTCAGTGAGTGAGTGGTGAGTGAATGTGAGGGCCTCAGAGATTACTATACTCTACCATGGACTTCATAAAAACTCTACACTTAGGCTACATTACATTTATATTTTAAAAAAGTAATTGTGCTACAACATTAAGATGACTAGGGCATCACTGGGTGATAGGAATGTTTTGGTTCCATTATAACCTTACGGAACCACCATCTCATGTATGGTTGAGCTTTGACAGAAGCATCACTATGCATTGCATGACTACATATGTAGACTCAAGGAATAAAATTAAACAAGGCTGACTTTTAAATGGCCCTTGATTTTTGGAACAGTTCAGAATATCCAGCCAAGTATTTCATTTGGAAAGAGACTGGGGCAGATAGGGGTTTCTCTCCACCCCATATCCCAAACCCTCTTAGATTTGCTGAGAGAGAATTTTGGCACGTAGATTGTCTTGGTTTCAGACTTGGCTAGGTATGTTGCTGTGTTCAGTACATCCTTTTCCGCTCTTTAGATCAGAGGCTGGAATGTGCTCTGATCCCCTCCCTTCAAATCTGGGAGAGGGTTCTGCAGGATGCTGACACCTAATTTTAGAATCCGAGCTTTAGTCCCTTGAAAGGGACTGAAGCTAGAATAAGAAGCTACCTGCTTGTCATTTTGTATGTGTATTTGGCATTTTGCCCCTCCAAACTCACACTGACTTTTAAAATATGTTAAAAATAATTACAAAAAAGACCTACACATGCATGAAGATATATTTGTGGACTACTGCTGGAGCAGAATTAATTGTTCCCTCCTCTTTGTTCTCTTACGTTCTGCGTGGACTTCTAGTGCATGATTTTGTACTTTACACTATAGTTAGTTGAGACCATCTGCAGTACCCAGTGTTCAGACAGAGTTCTTTGAGGACAAGAGTGTTCTCTAAATCATTTTGAGCCCAACACAATTCCCAGTATAGGGCTGATGCTTAATCAATGGGCACTAAATGAATTTGATTTCATCTGTTGAAAGGCATGCTGAAGACCACTTTCTTTTCATTAAGGGGAGTAGAATGAGATTGTACCATGTGAAAAAGCTTTGGTGAAAAAAAATTGGCATCAAATTTAAGGATCCTGGGCTATTGTTAATATATCCTGATTTCCAGAAGACAGAGAATCTTTATTACTAGTTGAACTTCTCTGGAGAGAGTGTCAGAATCTGGAATTTCTTGGTGGGGGGAATCCTGGCTGCACACGGCTGGCCTTCATTGCTCTCTGGCATACGTCCTGAGATCCCACCATCGCAGGCGTGAAACTCAGGACACAGGAGCATATAAAAGAGCAAAATGCAAAATATGATAAAAACCAATGCCTGTCCTCATGGTGATTACATTTTATGCAGGCAAGAGCACAGAAAAGAACATGATAAATAAGTTAACCTTACAGTATGTGAGAAGCTGATAGTGTCATAAAAAAGTAAAGCCCGTGTGAGGGTCTGAAGAACGCTGGGGGTGATGTGAGTTTAAGGGAGGAGTGAAGAAAGTTCTCACTGTGTCCTAGAGATTTGAAGAAAGTTCTCACTGTGTCCTAGAGATTTGAAGAAAGTTCTCACTGTGTCCTAGAGATTTGAAGAAAGTTCTCACTGTGTCCTAGAGATTTGAAGAAAGTTCTCACTGTGTCCTAGAGATTTGAAGAAAGTTCTCACTGTGTCCTAGAGATTTGAAGAAAGTTCTCACTGTGTCCTAGAGATTTGAAGAAAGTTCTCACTGTGTCCTAGAGATTTGAAGAAAGTTCTCACTGTGTCCTAGAGATTTGAAGAAAGTTCTCACTGTGTCCTAGAGATTTGAAGAAAGTTCTCACTGTGTCCTAGAGATTTGAAGAAAGTTCTCACTGTGTCCTAGAGATTTGAAGAAAGTTCTCACTGTGTCCTAGAGATTTGAGCAAGCCTCCTGGCAGAGGAGGGTCCAGGCAGCGGGGAATACCAAGTGCAAATGCCAGAAGCCCTAGTGTGTGCAAGGGAGAGGAAGAAGGTGCATGGAGCTGCAGAGGGGTGCAGGGGGTGCAGAGGGCACCAAGCAAAGTCAGAGAAGGAACAGGGGAGCCATACTGTGCAAACCCCTGTGGGCCACTGAAAAGACTTTGGTGCTTACTTTGAGTGCAGTGAGGAATCATTGAGGTCTGGAGCAGACAAGTGTCCTGATGGGAGTTTAAAAGCATCCTCTGGCTGCTGTGTTGGGACTCAAATGCAGGGAGCAGACAGGGAAGGACAAAGCTCAGCTAGGCGGTCCTTGGTCATCCGGGTGAGTGATGCTCTGTGAATGAGCAAAATCATCAAAGTGCTCCGGGTAGAGCTTTGCAGCAATGCTGTCCCACAGACCTTTCTGCAGTAATAGGGACGTTCTCTAGCATATGACCATCTGGTTCTGAGTCATACCTTCTTTGAAACCCCACACTCCATCTTCCTTAGGGACGGTTGGAGGATGACAGTTTCCAGGGACTCCAGATAAATGTGTTCCAAATATGAGAAAGTTGGGCAATGCTAAGTGTTGGCAAGAACGTAGAGAAACGGTAGCTCTTCTGCGTTGCTGTTGTAACTGGAAAAACTTGCTCGAATGAAGTGCATGTGTCCCCTATGGCCCCGCAATCCACTTCTGAGATGTGTCCCAGAACAATTCTCACAGAGGACCAGAGGGCACATGGGCAAGAATTTTCACTGCAGCATCGTGTGTGGAGCAGAGTTTTGGAGACAACCCGGACCCCTTTGCTGGGGAGCAGGTGAATGAAACATGGCGGATGAACACTATGGGATACTACGCAGCAGCTAGAAGCAACTAACCTGAAATGCACACAGGAATGTGAATCAGCCTGGGAAAGCACAGGGCCACATGAGAAAAGGAGGAAACAGAACAAGGTCCAAGGTGCCTCTCAAGTCCAGAATTCTAGAACAGGTCATTCCTTTCAAAGTAGAACTTAAGGAAGAGTTTAACATACAAAAAAAAAGAAAAAAAAGAAAAAATCTGCTGGGCACGGTGGCTCACACTTGTAACCCCAGAACTATGGGAGGCCAAGGTGGGAGGATCAGTTGAGACCAAAGTGGGTAGCATTGTCTCTACAAAAAAATTTTAAAAATTAGCCGGGCGTGGTAAAGCACATCTGCAGCCCCAGCTACTCGGGAGGCTGAGGTGGGAGGATCACTTGAGCCTGGGAGGTTGAGGATGCTGTGGGTTATGATACCACCACTGCACTCCAGCCCGGGTGACAGAATGAGACCCTGTCTCCAAAAAAAAAAAAAAAACCCACAAAACTGTAAGACAAACTAACCTATAAACAGAGAAAAATACAAAACAATTTACAGAAGAGGAAATGCAATTTACCAACACATACTTGAAAAGATTTTCAATCTTACTAATGGTAAAGGAAATGGGAATTTAAAAGATAGTTTTCAGCTGTAATATTGTCAAATTAGAAAAAAATAACATTTGCTATGAGCATCAATTTAGGAAATGAGCTCTCTTATACATTACTGGTGATAATGTTAATTGCCACAACCTTTTGGGAGAGTGATCTAGCAGTGTTTATAAAAATTAAAACTGCACATATCCTGGAATCCAGTAACCTTGTTCTTTTTAGCCCTTAATGAATCAGGCACCCCCTATTCACACCATTAGGTAACCCTCCCAGGCACCCCCACCACCACCTACACACATACACACACATTGGTATTGGGCTTGGCCGTGAGGCCTGCGTTGGCCGCTGGAAGTTTAGCAAGCGGGAAGACTCAGAGGCTTGATTTTCTCAGACCTCTCCCAACTGGAACCCCAAGACCACCATGTTGTTAGGAACACAGAGCCAGTCATGTGGACAGACCATCTGTTGTAGAACAGAGGTACCCAGCTGACAGCCAGAAGGAGGTCCCAGCCATATGACTCTAGCTGAGCTGTCTCAGCCAGCCCCCAGACACACGGGCATTCCCAGCTGAGCCCCCAGGTGCCATGGAGTACGGCCAAGCCATCTCCACTGTGCTTATGCGTTTATTGCATCATTGTGTGTAGCGTGGCAAAACACTGGACGTAACCAGAATGTCCCTCGGTTGAGGAACGGTTGAATTAACTGTGGTACATACATGCTATAGAATTCCATGAGAATTACAGTGATAGAAATCTTTTGTCTACCAATCTGAAGGCATAACAAAGCATACCCATGCTATATTAAATGAAAAAGCATATTGCAGCATCATATACAACTCTAGTTTTGTAACAATATGTTTAAATACTTAAGTAAATGGAAAATAAATGTTTGTAGAAGCGTAGAAAAAAATGGAAGACTTCACCAGGTTGTTGACACCATATTAGGAAGGTGGGATGAGGTGGAGATTGCTGAATTTCTAAAGAAGTTTTTAAAGTACTTTACTCATTATATGTACTACTCTGGTAATTAAAGAAAATCAAATGAAGAAAATGGTACAGCAAAATAGCTTTTTAAAAAGATCAGCATCTGAAAACTTGTCTATCAATTTCAAACAAATTCTGAGAATACATTTGAGGGTACTTGCAAAGTTATTTTACTAATTTTAAATACAACATCTTTTTTTTTTTGCCAACTTTAGATTTAGGTTAATTCTGAAAAGTTTCATTAGCCTTTTTTCACCTGGGTTAATACAGTTAACCCAGACTCATTTAATACAGTTAATTGGCTCTCTTCCTAGCGTGCTCCTTTGAAAAGAGCAAACATCTGGTTTTATCTCTGAGAACATATTTAATCTGTGTGTGTGTGTGTGTGTGTGTGTGTGTGTGTGTGTGTGTGTGTGGAAGAGGATGCATGAGGCATGCCAAATAATCAAATCTTCAAAAACTCCTTTTACTGCGAAATTCAAATGACCTGAGAGCTTAACAAAAAGAAAGAAAATTGTGTTTTCTAAATGCCCTTCTCATTAAACAAATGACAAAAAACACAAAATCCGCTGTCAGATATCTGTCATTACGCTTCTATCGTGAACGTACAGTCTGCATGTCTGATAGAATCTGGCCAAATTTGTGCCAGTGTGCTTGACTTTTTCTTTCTTTTGTCTAATACTGTGGTTCTCACCTTGGGCTTCCTATTAGAAGCTTCCAGAAGGCTTTGAAAAAGTACAGACGCTTGGGCCCCATCCCAGAAATTCTGTTTTAATTTGGATGAAGCTTACACCTTGCAATTTGAAAAACACTGATTCTAACACACACCCAAGGTTGAGAGACATGGGTCTGAGATGAATCTGAGTAACACGCATTCTCGAGGAACTCTTACAATATTCTAACCCTGTGTCTTCTGAATCAATGTGACACCATCAAATTATATTTCACATAGTTTTACTATTAACCATACTTAATTGAAGTTGAGTCATCTGAAAATTGGTAAAAGAAAAAGCCAGTTAATCTGAATATTCGGTTAGCTTGGAACATCATTTTGAGTGAACACAAACGCTGCCAGCAGTTGGCTTTTCACAGAGGCTGAAACGAAACGTGTGGCTTCTGCCAAAATACCCACGTCAACGCTCCCCTTCGTGGTGACGCAAATGTCAGCACAAAACTCAGTGCCCCAATTAGGGGGCATTTCATGGCTGCGTGAGAGCATTTCAGCAGAACTGTAGTGTTTCATTCACAAAATCCCTTCCATAGGGTCATTCTTGATGAAAATATCTGCATTTCTCAATGATTTTGCTCTAATTTAGTTTGCACCTGCCAAAACATATGTATACAAACTATATTTAAAATCTTGAACTTGCTCTGAATTGATCTTTATTCAGTTACTTATTTCTCTTTTTTTTGAGGCAGAGTCTCACTCTGTCACTCAGGCTGGAGTGCCATGGCGTGATTTCAGCTTACTGTAACCTTCACCTCCCGGGTTCAAGCGATTCTTTTGCCTCAGCCTCCTGAGTAGCTGGGATTACAGGCGTGCACCACCATACTTGGCTTATTTTTGTATTTTTAGTAGAGATGGGGATTCACCATATTGGCCAGGGTGGTCTTGAACTCCTGAGCTCAGATGATCTGCCTGCCTTGGCCTCCCAAAGTGCTGGGAGTCAACGTGAGTCACCGCAAGTCACCGCTCCTGACAGTTACTTATTTCTAAAATCTTGGGCACTTGCTTTGTTGCATCAACTGTCCCTTAACTCTTCACCTGGACCAAAAACTTGTCCAAGGGTAACTTTATATTCTCTACAGGGCTAGGCACACAATAGAGTAATTAAATGTCTGCTCCCTTGATTCATATTTTTGCTCAGCAATTTTGTTTGCTATAAAATATCATCTCGTGCTCTAGAAAGGTCGCAAAGATTCTAGCATATTTGGAGAAAAGTCACCCAGCTCTCCATGGATTTGACAAGTGCCATATTTACTTTATCAGTGGTGAAATGGACTTCATTTTGTTACTTATCTCAAAAGATCTAACATGCTCTCTTCCAACACTGAATGTGGAGAAACAATGGAATCTTCTTTCTTTCTTCTGTCTTCAGTTTCTGGAAAAGTTAGAGGCAGTTTAGCCTTCTCAGCTCATTTAAGGCATGCTCTCCATGGAAACTTAAAAGATTATTAACTAAAATCACACCCAAACACAGCTATCTTTTGTTTATTAGAAATAACTGGCGTGTATCAGAAAGAACAAAAGATAAGAATTCAAAACATTAAGAATTCAAAATTTTTTTAAGGTAGCAGTGATTACAAAACAATGACATTTATGGGTTCTTACTAAGCGGTTGGGTGGGGCTGCCCCTGGGCCAATGTTTTAGAGGACTCTGTTTCTTCACAGAGGGCCAAAGGGACATGGTCACCTGCAGCCTCTCACCTCCTTCTAGCCAACATTCCAGGTGCCCAGGCCTGTTAAGACCGTGAGATAAGCTTGCAGGTGCAAGCACTGAATTTGGAAGGTGATCCCAGAAACCAGTGCAGGAGAGTGTGGTGGTGAGATGGGAGGCAAACACATATACGTGGTACATTACTGAGCATGGGGGGTCACTGCAGGGTGCCAGGCTCAGTCCCACGGGGAAACCCAGGAGACAGTGGGAAACATACCTCAGACAACCCAACAGGAGATGAGGAGGCAGGGATATTTATCCACCATCTCCTGTCAGTCACAGGTGGAAGGTGGCTCCAGGAGGCATTACCTCCCCACACTTTCAGCCTGCCCATGGATGAGCAGAATGGATTCCAGCCACCAGGGAAAACTCCCAGGAAAAATCACAGGCACTTGGATTTGGAGTCTGAGGTCCACATTCAGGGCTACAGTGAGTGCTGGGAGGCTACGGGTCAGGCACCATCAGTGTCTGCCATTGCAAGACCCTAAAATGTGTTGTCCAATGGGCCAAACCCACTTCCAAGTCTGTGCATCCCTCTTTCCTGGGTCCACCCACCTGAGGATGAGGCAGGCTGCCAGTGTACTCCCTACAGGAACAAACGCAAGACCAGGTGGCAGCTGTTTGCAGAGGGCACGCCAGAAGCCATCAATGCAGGCAGACCTCTCCACAGGAACATGCCCCTTTGTGTGGCAAGGAGGTGAGGCAGGAAAAGAGGTCAGCCGAGGCTGGTTCTTCTGGGGCCAGCAGGTTCAAAGGCAGAATCTGAGGAATTGAGTCCAAGAATTCTGAATCCTTACCTGGCATCCTAGGTAGTTAGGAAGGTATATTTGTCATGGTGGGAGAACAGAACATCATTTATTTATCAGTTTGTTAGCCTGATTTATAACTTCTGAGTATCTAGACATGTTGTGTGTAGCAGATGCTGTTGGTGAGCCTCCACATTCCCCAGGCTTCTCCACTTCGGTGCACCCAGCCTGATGTCCAACAGCGAGAGCTGCTTCTCCTGCCTCAGGGCTTCCTGTTGATGCCGGAATCTGCTTTACTGCCAGAACAGAAGGTGGAAAATGTAGAGGAACCAAGCTCGTGGGAGCCACCTTCCATGGAAGACTGATCGGTGTCGGTATTACCTGTCCTCTTCCTCACTCCCAGGAGGAGACAGCCCTGAGCTGCTCCAGGAGGAGTGGAAGCTACAGCTGCCCGCTGCAGTCCCTTGCTACATCACACACCTTTTATCAGCTACAGGTTCCTTCTTTGTCTTTTTCTTTCCTTTACTGGTATTTTTCTTCATCTCCATAAAAATTTTAAAACGCCCTCTAACACTTGTCTCAGGTCTTTCTTCTGGGTGAATCCAAACCAAGCTGGCAGAGACCCGGTTATGTACTTGCCCAGACCCCATACATGTCACGGGTGGGCCTGTGTGTTTACCACTTATTCTCCTACTCTTCACTGAAGCCCAATGAAGAGGGTGATACTATGATCCCCATATAAAACCGAGTCTCTGAGCCCTAAAGTCCCTTTTCCAAGGTCCCAAGCTAATAAATAAGATAATAATGATAGTAATAAAGCCTGAAATCTCGGCTCTGTCCCCACTCATTGTGTGTCCAGGGATCATACACCCTAAGTCATACCACGGATGTGAGGATTGTGATGTCCATGTGGACACGACCCCAGCACCATAGAATGAGGTGCTTACCTCCATGCCTGTGGTTCTTCTCACTTGTTTACCAATTCTTTCTTGTATGCTTCCTTCCCTCCCTCCCTTCCTCCTTTCCTTCATCCCTTCCATTATTAAGCACATTATTAAGCACATGGGGGCACCTAGCTATGTGGCAGGTCCTGTTTCAGGTGATAGAAACAGCCTTGAACAAAAAAAAGTAAGTCCTTGTCTTCATAGAGAAATAAATGAATGAATAAGCAAACAAATAAGAATAGTTAGCTACTGATAAATGCCATGAAGGATACGAGAGGCCTGTATTGCAGCGTGGCTGGAGAGTTGATGTCTGCGAATGTTTGCGTATGGGGGGGGGGGTTGTGGGTGTAGCTGTGTGACAGTTGGTTTTGGTCAGATCTCTAAAGAGGTGATGTTTCAGCTGAACCTTGATGATAAGGAGCCACTCCAGCTGTGAGAAGACTAGCAACATTTTACAGGAAGTAAAGGATGTGTAGAACAGCCCCAGCGTGCATGGGAGAGACAAGGCGTGAAACTGTACCTGCAGCTCCAGGGCAGAAGGAGAAGCAGCCCCAGATGCCGTCACAGAGGCAGGTGTGGCTGGATCTCCTAAGGCTTCATACACTGTGGTACGATGTTTGGCTTTCATAATGAATGCAGTGGGAAGTGCAGGAGGAACTGAAGGGACAAGATGTAATTTAAGTTTTATAAAATCACTCACTGTCATATAAAAATGAGAGCAGGAGTGGATGAGGAAGACTGGTTAGGACAATTACCTCACCCTGGGACATCAATCATCCTGCATTCCCACGCTTTGCTAGGACGGCAGTGCCTGGAACTTCCTACAGAACCTGGTGAGGCCACCTGCTATGGTTTGAATGAGGCCCCTCCAAAGTCAGTGTTGAAAGTGAATCCCAATGTGGTGATCTTAAGAGGTGGGGCCTTTTAGGAAGTCATGGAGTCATGAGGGTTCTGCCCTCAAGAGTGGATCTGTAATCCCAGCACTTTGGGAGGCCGAGGCGGGCGGATCATGAGGTCAGGAGATCTCCTGAGACCATCCTGGCTAACATGGTGAAACCCCGTCTCTACTAAATATACAAAAAAATTAGCTGGGCATGGTGGCAGGCACCTGTAGTCCCAGATACTCGGGAGGCTGAGGCAGGAGAATGGCGTGAACCCGGGAGGTGGAGCTTGCAGTGAGCAGAGATTGCGCCACTGTACTCCAACCTGGGCAACAGAGGGAGACTCCATCTCAAAAAAAAAAAAAAAAAAAAAAAAAAAGAGTGAATCTGGCCTAATCAAGGAGGCTTTAGGGAGAACTTTAGGGAGAAACGGCCCCTTGTTGGCTTTTCCATCCCGTATGCCTTGTGAGGACATGGTGTCCTCAGCACAGCACCCAGGTGCCATCTTGGAAGCGAGAGCAGCTCTCACCACGCACCAATGCCGGCACCTTGATCTTGGACTCCCCAGCCTCCAGAACACTCAGAAATAAGTTGCTGTTCTTTATAAATAACATGGTCTGTGGAACTTTGTTACAGCAACACAAACAAGCTGCGACTCCATCATGTCTTACCCTATGCCCCTTTCTGGGTTCATGTCCATGGGCCTGGTTTGTCTCCTGGCACCAGCCCTGCAGCTTCCTTTGGATGCTTGCATTCCAATCACTAAACTATATGATGTTAACATGTACTTTCAATTATCTTCTTATTGTCGGGTGTGGTGGCTCAGGCCTGTAACCCTAGCACTTTGGGAGGCTGAGGCAGGTGGATCACTTGAGGTCAAGAGTTTGAAACCAGCCTGGGCAACATGACAAAACCCTGTCTCTATTAAAAATACAAAAAAATAGCTGGGTGTGGTGGCATATGCCTGTAATCCTGGCTACTTGGAAGGCTGAGGCATGAGAATCCCTTGAATTGGGAGGCAGAGGTTGCAGTGAGCCAAGATCACACCATAGCACTCCAACCTGGGTGACACAGCAAGACTCTGTCTGGAGGAAAACAAAAACAAAAACAAAAACCAGGTATGTTTGGTATTCAGGAGTGTGGCGGGGGAAACTTCTTCAAGATGCGGCCAGACAGGTGGGCAGGGGCTAGGGGCAAGGAGGATATGGGATCTTTCAGGCCATGAGCAAACTTTGCATGGTTAAAAAAAAAAAAGCCAAAACAATAAATTCTCTTCTCCCCAAAGCACCTTCCGCCTCATTTGGCTCCCTGGCCAGCCTGCCTGGGTGATAGATAGGCTCATCTCAACCAGGCCTTGTTTTGTTCAGAGCAGCGGCAGTTCATGGGCCAAGGCTAAAGTTGCAAGCCCTCTTGGGAGTTGTCAGAGTCATCAATAATGTCAATAGTCGTCAATAGCCATCAATAACAATACAGCCAAATGCAAATCAAAGGAAAATGTAAACTGAACACCAGGGGACATAGTTATTGACTCAGAATTTCTCTCATTCTTAACATTCTCCGAAAATTAAAATTATGTTGAAGGATTCCTTTTTCTCCTTAAGTAAGGGATAAGGCAAATTGGTCTTCTTGAATGACTCTTTTTTCTCTGTGTCACATCAATTGGACAAATATTGGGTCATTCTCCACCCTGGGCTCAGAGCCAATTTAGAACTGTGGAAATAGCAGACATTGGCATTTCTGGTCTCAAAGAATCTATGGGGTCTGGGGAATACATATCATCCTTGATCAATGTTTATTGAGTGTGAGGCAGTGTTTGGGCCTTGTGTTAGTCACTGAAACAAAACAATGGTGTAAGCTTTTTTCTCCTGGGTCATAATTTTGAGATACTGTTATATGCCTACAATAAAATGATAAAGAATACTTGCATACATTAGGCAACACACATTTACTGGGCCCTGTGGTAGTGACAATTGCAGCTGTAAATGTTATTTGGCCTTGGCCTTTTAAATAATGTCAGTTTTATGTATTTTATTCCTGAGAGACCATTTGAGGAAAATGGAAATCATTATAGTAGAATGTAATTGTCTCTTTTAAAACTTTTATTATTTTCTAAAATATACAAATACTCTTTCTAAATAGTAAATGAGTTCATAATTACTGATAGCAAGTGGATTTTAAAAATCATTATTATATAATCCTACCATTCACAGATAATTACATTAATATTTTGGTACAGATTCTTCTAAAGTCTTTTCTAGCCATAATACAATAATTTTCCAGACAACTGGTTGACCTACCAATATGAGGAAAGAGACTAAGCTCTCCAGTTCACTATACATCTGTCAATAACAGAGAGGAAGAGAGGGAGAAATTGTCCAGTCAACAGGGACCCTTGGGGACACAGATTAAATCTATATGCCCCATGGAATTAGGGTGAGGGCGCTCTTTATTAAAATGCTCTGGGCTTAACCATATATCCAAAGTATTTTTCCAAATGCATGTCATCACAGCTAATGGACACACTGCATTCTGTTCAATGTAGCTACTATAGTTCATTTAGTCAATTTCGTATTACTGGATTTTTAAGTGGTTTTCTTTTTCTGGTACCAAGCTACTCCACACAATACTCAAAACAAAACAAAACAACAACAACAAAAAACTCTTCTACATCCATCTCAGTGCACTCAATAATATTTGCCAAACTATTCAGTTTAGATGTCTATGTGTTTGATGTCTGAACTAGAGGTTACAAACTGATAACCCACAGGTATGTCTTGTTTGGCCTTGATGATATTATAAATATTTAAAAATTTCACCTGAACATCATAATTTCCTTTCCTTTTTTTTTTTTTTTTTTTTTTTTTGAGACAGAGTCTCGCTGTCTCCCAGCCTGGAGTGCAGTGGCGCGATCTCGGCTCACTGCAAGCTCCGCCTCCCGGGTTCACGCCATTCTCCTGCCTCAGCCTCCCGAGTAGCTGGGACTACAGGCGCCCGCCCACCACGCCCGGCTAATTTTTTTTTTTTTTTTTTTTTTTTTTTTTTGTATTTTTAGTAGAGATGGGGTTTCACCGTGTTAGCCAGGATGGTCTCCATCTCCTGACCTCGTGATCTGTCAGCCTCGGCCTCCCAAAGTGCTGGGATTACAGGCGTGAGCCACGGCGCCCGGCCCATAATTTCCTTTTCATGAAAGAACTCTGGTGACCCATGACCTCAGTCCCAAATAGCAGCAGCTGGCAGATCTGAGTTTCGGCGACCCCGTTAGTCTGTGCCCCCGTTTGCCACGACGCCATCCTCCCTGTAGCTTCACATCCAGTTTCTTTAATCATTTACATTTCCTGCCTACCCCCTACTCTGATCCGGCACGTTGCTCTGTGACCCCTGCTGGTTCCCACGGATTTCTTAGTCCTTTAATGACACCAGCTTTATGGCAGCTTTTGAATGCTGGAATCTGGGCCAAAATATGGGGTCCCAACTCTAAAAGTACCAAATATACGACTTGATACAATGGAGCCTCTTTGAGACTGAATTTTCCCTTCTGGTACCATCACCTAGTTAGGCTTACTTGCATGGGGCTTGTGAGCATCAAATGCGATAATTCATGATGAGCGCTGAAAAGTCGCTAACGAACATGTGGTTCACTCATCTGCCCAGGGGAGGCTCTTCCTGCACTGCCAGTATGCACAGTTCCATAAAAAGCCCACGGCAACAAACAACAACAGGACCCCACTGATTTTATCATATTTATTTCACCAACACTGTTTGGCTGTTCACCAAAAACCATTTTCTTTTCGTTGTGGCCCAGAGCTAAACTCCAGTTTCCAGCCACCCTTGCGGTAGAGGTGGCCCCAGGACTGAGACTTGCGGATGGAGGATGGGGTGGAGGGAAGCCTTGCTCCCACATTTAGGTTGTGCCAACCAGCTTCCCCCGGTCCTCCCCGCTGTCTCCTAACCCTTCACTCCATGCGGTCACTTAGGTAACCATGGAAACTATGCATTGAAGACACTGGAACCAGCATTTGAAGAGGAGATACCATCATCTTGCAGGAGCCTGGGTTTTTAAATCTTTGCTTATTGGGGCCAGGTGCTGTGGCTCAGGCCTATAATCCCAGCACTTTGGGAGGCCGAGGTGGGTAGATCACTTGAGGCCAGGAGTTCAAGGCCAGCCTGGGCAACATGGCAAAACCCTGTCTCTACTAAAAATACAAAAATTAGCTGAGCATGTTGGCACATGCCTGTAATCCCAGCTACTTGGGAGACTGCGGCAGGAGAATCACTTGAACTCATGAGGTGGAGGTTGCAGTGAACTGAGATCGTGCCACTGCACTCCAGCCTGGGAAAGAGAGTGAGATTCTGTCTCAAAAAAAAAAAATTGCTTATTGGAAAGCTATCTCTAAAGAATACTTGTTTCGATTTTATACAAGTTAGAAAGAAACTTTACTTGGGCAAGTGGCATTATGAATTGGGTTTGTTTATTAACACAGCTAGTGTTCCTTACCTAAGAATTTGTAAGGTCTAAAAGAGTGTCAGGTTGACAAACTTCCTGGATGTAGTTTTAGTGTCTTCTCTTTTTCTTTTTTTCTTAAGTTAAAATTAGTACAGAAAATTAGCAAATGTCAGTTTCAAGCCAATTACAAATAGTTTTGGTTACAAATGCAGTACTTGGAAACTGACTGACTAGGAAATACTTCCTGGGAGATGCATCATTTTGCTCACAGAGTTTCCTGAAAAGCAATTAATTTTTATTTTAAGAAAACATGAGAGAGATTTTCAGTACAAAGCAATGAAATCAAGAAAGAAATTTGTCTATAAAGTGATGGAACATAAGTACACTTAAATATATAGTAGAGAACATCTCATTAGACATCAGATCATTAAATACACTAATAGCATGACAATTGGTGCACAAAATATAACTACATGTAGCCCCCATTCTCTAAATCACATTGCACACTCCACCCAAGTGGAGTAATAACATCTTGTAATTTTTTGCTGCTTTGCTCATTAGAAGTTCTGTTTTCTCAAAAGAACAGAGAAAATACAGTATACACACTGTCAAAAGTTGACTTTAGTAATGCTCCTGGTTGAGTTTTGCGCTTTCATCTGATGACAGTACCACCTTCTTCTTTGTATTTGTTTTGGCAAGTGGGGAGTTTTCTGTTTTCCACTCTCTAGAGTCACGCGAGACTGCTTTACCCTCAAGTCACTAAGGTCTACCCATGAACAAAGCACGGGCAATCGGGACTTCCTGTACTCTAAGGCTGGGGTTGGGGAGAGGCATGTGATCCAAGCCAGCTCACAGAGATGTGCATCGAGAACTTTCGCTGGGATGGCTGCTAAACAGCTAATCCCCCTTTTCCTGAAATGACTAGATGGATAGCGGCGCCAAGTCACCCCGCGGAACCTCCTGAGAATAATTAAGCTGACAGGAGGAATTCTCAGCTCGGAAATAGGGAATCCACGCCCTCCTAAACCACCTGTGCCCCTGTATCCAGCTGTACTTGAAGGTCAACATGTGCCTGTCGTTTCCAGGTTCTTGAACCAATAAATTCTCTCTCTCTTTAACTTCATGTCTCTCTCTTAATCTTAAGATTCTGTAACTAACAACCAAAGAATCCAAAAATTAATCCAACAGTTAATGGAAAAATATTTGCTTACAGCTACCATTATTGACAGTCTATTAACTCATCACAATTAATACAACCCACTTTAATATCTAAGACAGCATTGAAGATGATATTAGTTCACATTTCTGAGACACTTGCTACATGCCAGGTATTATTCTAAGTGATTTACGTGGTTAGTAATAAATACACATTACTAAAATATCCAAACAGAACAAATTGGTGTCCCATTAAAAGTAAGTCAGGAGAAACCTCATTTCCTAATTGTCTTCTTCAGAATCAGTACCATAACCAGTTACTCTGTATTCTTGTAGGTCTGTACAATAAATAGGATAAATAAACAAATGCTGTAAATAAATATGCATTATAATAATACAGCTATATGTATGCATGTATTGATTTTTGACACACACAATACCAGCTGCCATATAGATGGACTGGTTATCATGTGCTAGGCTCTATTCTAAGCACAAGACAGTGCACCTATTATCTTACTGAATCCTCACCACATGCAGGAGGAAGGTCATCCTGGAGGAAGCTGGGGCTGAGACACCGATTAATCTGGGAAGCCAAGCAGGCAGGCTGCCTTCAGAGCATGAATTCTTCACAACCACCCTGCTCTGTTGACATGTTTGGGGATCTATAAATAATCCCAATTCTCCACCCGGGTTTGCAAGAAATTGAGAAAGAGAGAAAAGCATCAGAGACTCGAAGCTCAAACTGTGCTGTGTTGTGATTAGGGCTGGGTGGCAGGATGTGCCTTAGGTATAATGTCAAATGGGCATTCTAAGCTTCTTCCCTTCTGTGTTCCCTCCCACCATCCAGTCAGGAGCTCAGGAGTTCCACCTGGTGAAAAGTGAGCATCCACGAACACACGCTCATCCAACAAGCCTGCCTCACATTCCTGGGGAGTGGAGAGGACACTGAAGATATAAATCCCCAAGGGTCAGGCATTTACATGGAAACTTGAACCAGTGGAAGTCAACAATCAAGCATGTTAGAGAGCCGCGCTTCTCTTGTGCCTCTGTGTGGAAACCAGGGTAAGCGATTGGCGTTTCTTTAGCATCATCTTGTTTGGTTTATGAGGAAATAAGGAGCAGAGGACTTAGATATGCCTAAGGTCAAGTGGCAGGATCAGAAAATCTCTGGCTCTAAAACGTGCATTGCTTCTACTGTGATGAGCTTCTTCCCAGAAATATGCTGGGTGGAAAATCAAGGCCACCTGTAGGCACACTTTTTATTGCTGGCATTACTCATGCATCCAATTTTCTTAACATTACAAGCATATGCCTGCCATGTTGACAGGATATGTAAATTTTATAACATTTACATATTAAGAAATGTACAAAGCAGTGTAAATCGGCTTATATATAATAGATTTTTCAGCTTTGATCATTGGCATTGCCCCAATTTCTATTCCTCTGCCTCTGCTGGTCTTTGATACTACTCTATAGTAATTACCATCTCCCCTCAAAAAAAGAGAATGGAACATGATATGTCCCTCCTCCAAAAGTTCTCATATCCTCCTACAACTGAATAAAATCGGAAGTCATCATCCTGGCCTCTGAGTCCCCATGTGATCCAATCCTTACCTACCTCTCTGCCCTCTTTTCCTGCCTCTCTCTCTCCCTCTCAGCTACAATCATCCTGGCCTCTTTGGGATCCTCAAACACTTCAGACATATGCCCTGTACTCAGTAGTGAATGCCAGTGTCTACAGCAGTAATGGCACATGGCACATGCTTAACACATCTCAGCTGAGCAAATGAGCAGTGAGCAGGCACATACGCTTGGTGTTGAGGGAAGCCCGGTGAGTTAGGGCTGACAAGAGGCTCTCTGTGCCAGAAACATAGGCTGCCTGATAGGGAAAAACAGAAGGGAGTCTCAGCAGAGGTTGGCTCTGGTCAAATTTTGAGAAGCCTTGTTACCTTTACAAAGGGGGCAGGAGTTTAGCCTTAAGATAATACAAAAGCTTGGCTCATCTATTAGATTCACACAAACAAGAGATCAAAGCCAATGTTAATAATTTCAAGGATATAAGCAACCCATAAGTATCAGCAAAACGAGGTGCAGTTTAGGGCTGTTGCGTAGCTATCCGAGGTCTTCCTCCTCACTCTGCACACACCTGGCCTAGGCTGACAATGGAGACCTCCCAGTGGTGTCCACAGTGATGTCACTCAGACAGAAGGGGGAGATCGGTCCTCAAGCACCTCTGTTTTACATTCAGAGGGTTACACAGCAGATGGGATTTTCCTAGGAGCCATGCCCCATACATTCACACATTCTAGCTGATGGGGGTGTGCCATCAGCTATCCTGGGCAACCTACTAAAAGCATGAGCTAGACAAGGCCACGCCCACCAGCAGGTACAGAGAGGTGGCATGAGTGAGCTGACAGAAGGTGACCCCGAGTCACGTCCCTTTCTCCCTGAGCTGCTCCCACCACTCCCCTCCAACACTGGGAGAGAACAGATTGTGAGCAATGGGTATGTCACAAGCCTAAGACAATGGGGAGTGCCGAAGGCTTTGACGGGGTGGGGACAGGGGTAGTGATGGGCTCTGACAGTGTTTCGTGGGGATGTCTCTATCAGCGCCTGAAGAGAGGCACTGTTTCAGGTTCCTGGAGGGGAGGGCTGGGTTCCAGGTGTGTCCCACTCTGCTGTAGGATTAAAACCACAGCCTCTCCATAAATGTCAGTCAAAGTGATTCCAAAGTAATGGGGAGATTCAGTTTTACTTTTACAAGTCCATTATGAAATAAATAGCAAACTCAGTAAGGCAGGGGGCTTAGAAATTCAATATGAACACAAAGAGAACCTCGCACCCTTTTTTGTGGTGGGAAGAGATTTGTCTGCAGGCTGCATTCATGAAGATATTGATTGGTTTCATTCACTTCACTATTCCTCATAGTGGAGTACCGGATGTAACATTACATGCAATGAATACTTTCTTGAGTGAGTTTATTAAGTGAATACTCGCACAAGTTTTTAAAAGCATACTAAGCTATTTAAGAATGAGAGCTGAGAGAGTTAGAAGTATTCATAAGACGGACGGCAGGGGTGAGTTTTCAGGTATATGTGCACTCACAGAAATTACTAAGCACCTTAGTGGGGAATCTTTAAAAGCAGAAGAGCCATTCCCGACTGGTTTTAGAGAGCAATGGGCAGGATATCTATCACCGGCTGTGACAAGGCTGGCTTGGTGAAGAAAGAAATGTTTGGCTGACTCAGCTGCGACCCCCTGATGTCTAAAGAGTAAGGGCTTAAGAAGATCATAAAGGAGGAAATTATAATATTCAACGTGGGAAGTGACTCAGGCATGAATAATGATCAAGGTAAGGATGGATTTTGGAAATGTTCCAAAGATGGTAATAGGCAAGTGGACACAAGAAATATTCACATGGGAGGAAAGAGAAATATATGTTTTAGCAGTAACAATATTATTATATTTCCCTATTGCAACTTACATTAAAAAAAAAATGCAAGCAATGAGCCACCAGGAGAGAGAAATAAAAATGCAAAAGGCTTGAATGCCTTTTTCAGAGTGAACACTACCTATGGACCGAACCAGAAGTGCAGAAGACGATTGACAATCACTCGTGCTCACTAATTACCCTGGGCTGCCCCTCACTGAGATTCATCCTCCGCCCTCTTTTGCACCCAGGGAGTAACCCATATGGAAGACACTGCTGGGTGATACCAATGGGTAGGCTTGGGCCTCCAGCTCCCCACGGGACTCTGCCAGTGGGAGTTCCTGTCAGGAGAACAGAGGGCTGGATGGGCTTGGGTTTTCCTTCTTGCGTCTCTGCATTGTACCATATTGCTGGCCGGGCGCAGTGGCTCACGCCTGTCATCCCAGCACTTTGAGAGGCTGAGACGGGTGGATCACCTGAGGTCAGCAGTTGGAGACAAGCCTGGCCAACATAGTGAAACCCCGTCTCTGCTAAAAATACAAATATTAGCTGGGCGTGGTGGTGGGCTCCTATAATCCCAGCTACTTGGGAGGCTGAGGCAGGAGAATCACTTGAACCTGGGAGGCGGAGGTTGTAGTGGGCTGAGATGGAACTACTGCATTCCGGCCTGGGCAACAGAGCAAGACTGTCTCAGAAAAATAAATAAATAAAAATAAAACATACTGCTGCTGGTGCCTGTATTCCTCTGAATTCCTTTGAAACTCTAGCTTGTGATAAGTGGCCCCTGCTCCACGACTCCACCTCTTACTGAGCACAGCAATGCTGTTCCCTCCCTTTATCCCTCCAGGCCTCAGGAGTGTAAGGGCTTTCTGCTGCTGCTGACCTCCAGGCACAGCCATATGGCTGTTTCTCCTCCTTTAACCTCTCTAATTATTCTCTTCACTAAAATCATGTCTGATCTGGAAATGGCAAATGTCTATCTAGGGCTAAAAGCAGAAATCAGTTGTTCATTGGCTTTGAAAAGCTTATTAGAGCAATCCTGTTATTTGATTTTGTTTTTTTTTTTTAAACAGGGTCTTGCTCTTGTCAAGGCTGGAATACATTGGTGTGATCACAGCTCGCTACAGCCTCGACTTCCCCGACTTAAGCAATTCTCTCACCTCAGCTTCCCGAGTAGCTGGGACTACAGGTGCACACTACCATGCCCAGCTAATTTTTTATGTTTTTAGGAGAGATGGGGTTTCACCATGTTGCCCAGGCTGGTCTTGGACTCTTGGGCTCAAGTGATCCACTCATCTCCACTTCCGAAAGGGCTAAGATTAGAGGCATAAGCTACTATGCCCAACCTGATTTTATTTTCCCCTTATACAGCCACAAAATACTGACACATTTCCCAGCTCTGGTTGTTTTTTTCTCCTTTGAGCAGTGAAAATTAAACAGAAAAAAAAATTCACACTAACATCATTCCCTCATGGTTCACTTTCTCATGTGAACCCAGAGAGTAAACAGTACATAGGAAGCTTTAATAATGAAATGTTTTCAATGACTTCTCAGAGGGATAAATATCTCCAAGCACTGTCAGAATGAAGAACTGCAGGGGTTTAAGCTCCAAGATGAGATGTATCTGTCCAAAATCTTTTATTTGTTTGTTTGTTTTTGAGATGGAGTCTCACTCTGTTGCCCAGGCTGGAGTGCAGTGGCACGATCTCAGCTCACTGCAACCTCTGTCTCCTGGGTTCAAGGGATTTTCCTGCCTCAGCCTCCTGAGCACCCGGGGTTACAGGCTCACACCACCACCCTCAGCTAATTTTTGTATTTTTAGTAGACACAGGGTTTCATCATGTTGGCCAGGCTGGTCTTGAACTCCTGGCCTCAAGTGATCCACCCGCCTCAGCCTCCTAAAGCGCTGGGATTAGAGGCATGAGCCTGTCCAAAATCTTTATGAATAGAAACAATGCTAACTGTAATTTCCAACATCTTTTTCCTTCTCAGAATTCTCTACTGGTTAACTTGGTCAGAACGCAGAGTTTTGGATAGATGCGTCAAATCCAAATACACTTTGGGGCAAATGAAATATTCCGCTTGGTGTAGGTGAATGTCTGCATTAAGATCCTCCTGTATGTCTTCATCAGTTAAGGTTCTTTGGTTGCAAGCAAGAGAATTCTATATAAAGTTGTTTAAGAAGTCTAACATGAGAATATAGGACTACTACATTATGGAATCTAAGGTGGGGACATAGGGGCACTCCAAAAACAACTAAAATTTGGAGCTCCAAATGGGCAGGGCTCTCTCCCTCCTCATCTCTGCTCCCTCCAGGGAATCACTTCATTTCTCTCTTTCTCTAGCAGCTCCTTCTGTTACTCTACCTTGGAATAATATGCCTGCCAAATAGGGTAACGTGCCAGCCTGCCTTCATTCCTTCAGAAATATATATGGATTGCCTATCATGTGCTCTGTAATATTCTGGGAGCTGGAACTAGTATAGGAAGAGAAAAAGGAAAATAACATTATTGCTCTGTGAACCTTATCTTCCAGTGGAAGAGACAGACAATACTGAAAAACAAAAAACATATGCAAAATATTGCACTTAATTTACCCTTATAAAACAAATAACATAATAAAAGCAGATAGTAGCATGTTGAAGGTTCACGTGGTCTTTGCATTTGTAAAACCAACATCCCTGGAAAGAGGTGAAGAGGTGAGGGGTGGCATTACTCAGAACAGAAACTTGTTGAACCAGGGGAATGAACATAACAGGATCAGAAATTAGTACATAAAAGGAAAGCCATGAATATGAGATAAAGTATGCTTCAGCTACTCTCTGTGTTTCAGTAATAGAAATGTGATATTCTACCAGTTGATTTTGGCCAGTGAGATAAATGATGACACAGGCAAGATCAGGAGGACACAGAATTTTGACACCCTTTCCCCCATAGGGACACATACACTGAGTGCACAGATGGAGTGGAGTCCCAGTGTGAGATTCCGTCCTAGGGCCCCAGTAATGGGCATCTTCCACAGGCTGGTGACATCATTAGGGAAATGAAATTAAACACATGAACACGTGTTCTGGGACAGTGGAAACATGGCTTGGGAAAGTCCACTTCAGAGGGTCTTTAGGTTAAATATGAGGAAGGAATTTAAGTAGAAAACACAGAGTAAGACCGTATGAGGCAGAGTCATGGGGCGATTAAGGAGTTATCCTGGCCTTGAGGGTTCTTAACGTTCCCCCTTCAATCAGTTACCTCCAACACATACTCTGAGCAGGGAGGCAATTCACCTGACCTCATCTGTCCCCCACTTCAGTCGGTTACCTCCAATACATACCCTGAGTGGGGAGGCAATTCACCTGACCTCATCTGTCCCCCATCAGTCAGTTACCTCCAACAAATACCCCTGAGTGGGGAGGCAGTTCACCTGACCTCATCTGTCCCCCATCAGTCAGTTACCTCCAATACATACCCTGAGCGGGGAGGCAATTCACCTGACCTCATCTGTCCCCCACTTCAGTCGATTACCTCCAACACATACCCTGAGTGGGGAGGCAATTCACCGGACCTCATCTGTCCCCTACTTCAGTTGGTTACCTCCAACTACATACCCTGAGTGGGGAGGCAATTCACCTGACCTCATCTGTCCCCCATCAGTCAGTTACCTCCGACAAATACCCTGAGCGGGGAGGCAATTCACCTGACCTCATCTGTCCCCCATCAGTCAGTTACCTCCAACAAATACCCTGAGCGGGGAGGCAATTCACCTGACCTCATCTGTACCCCTTGTCTCCAGCTGGCTTGAGGCGCCTCTAGCCTGGAGGAAACTGCTCAGTCTATGGATGGCTTAGTAAGCTGCCTAGATTGCTAACAATTGTGTAGACTGCATTCTCAGTTGCTCTTTCTCTACCCTTGGCTGCTACCACAGCAGGTAAAACCTGCCCAAAGGGACCTGGATGGGGTCTACCTTAGACAGAATGTGATATTTACGTCCCTCGTTCAACTTTTGATAAACACAACATGGTATTAGGTATATATGGGCATCACTTTAGGCACAATGACCCGCTTTTCCTCCTTCCCCCGTCCAAATGGAAAAAGAGAAAGAAAGTGTCTAATTGCTCCTGGGCTGCATTCCTCTGCGATAAAAGAAACTACACATTCAGTTTCTGAACAGCCCAAATGACCCAAAAGCTTAATTGTATTTGTGTTATTATGCATTTAATTCCTGCACCGATGACCCCAGTCCTTTGTAGGTACCTGATAAACCATCCACCAAGCAGTAATGAACTTTTTATGACGGATTCCAGTGGATTACAAGAAAACTGGGCAAGTAAAATGAGCTTCGCTTCAAAACATTGTAATTTCAATTATAACAGTCTTTACATCTTTCCTGGTCTGTCTTTAGTCTCCCCTGTAAATGAGGATAAAGTTTGAGCACCTTTTGTCTACGATACCATACATAAAGAACAGAATCTTGAAATTGCAGCATCAAGACAAGATTTATTCCCAGGCTATAGAAAAAGGTGCAAAATGAAATAAAGCTTCTAGGATTCAGGGGAAATTCATATTTAAAATGACAACCAAAGTGAAAAGCATTTCACAGAGATTGAAGGACTCACGATCTATCCCCTCAGATTAGAAAAAGGAGGCGGGAGAGAGAGAAATGGAAGTTTACTTAGACGATCCTAAAATACAATCTCATGTCTCATGATTTCTGAGGCTGCTAAGAAAAGTAGCTTAGGGAACCACCCTGCAATTTCTCTTTTGAAAAAAAAAATCTGATTCTATCGCAGAGATGTGCTCATTTCTCATCTTAAAACTTTCTAAAACTTCCAAATTTCCAGAATATCCTCATAGAAATACATGGGAACAATTATTAAAAGTTAACAGCAGATTTTTTTAATTTTTTTTATTTTTTTTTGAGATGGGTGTCACTTTGTTGCCTAGGCTGGAGTGCAGGGTGTGACCACGGCTCATTGCAACCTTGACGTCCCTAACTCAAGCGATCCTCCTGCCTCAGCCTTCTAAATAGCTGGGCCTATAGATGCACACCATCACGCCTGGCCAACTTTTGTAATTTTTTGTAGAGATGGGGTTTTACCATGTTGCCCAGGCTGGTCTTGAACTCCTGAGCTTACCCAATCCGCTCACCTCGGCCTCCTAAATTGCTGGGATTACGGGTGTGCACCACCATGCCCCGCCAGCAGCAGCTCCTAAATTCAACAGGGGATAACAACCATGTGAGGGCTTGTCATCATCACTATCTTGGGTGTCATCAAAACTGGCTCCTAAAAATCTAGGCTCAGAACAAAATCCTCAAACCGTTACACATTCAAGTCCTCCATCTGTGAAATGAACATCCCAGACTTACAATACCCATTCCCAATTTCTGTGACTTTTTTTTTTTTCTTTTGAGAGATGGAGTCTCGCTCTGTCGTCCAGGTGGAGTGCAGTGGCACGGTCTCGACTCACTGCAACCTCCGCCTCCCGGGTTCACACCATTCTCCTGCCTCAGCCTCCCGAGTAGCTGGGATTACAGGCGTCCGTCACCACGCCCGGCTAATTTTTTGTATTTTTAGTAGAGACGGGGTTTCACTGTGTTAGCCAGGATGGTCTTGATCTCCTGACCTCGTGATCCACCCGCCTCGGCCTCCCAAAGTGCTGGGATTACAAGCGTGAGCCACGGCGCCCGGCCTTCTGTGACTTTCTTAATCCAAGTTCGCTACCATTGCTACCATCAAGGTTGAATATCAATCATCAGACAATAGCTTCTCAATTAGGCATGCTAATTACTTAGCTGATAGTCAGAACTGCAGCATGCTGTATAGGACTGCACATGGCAGAAGCCCAGCGTCAACCAGTTTAAGCAAATACGTATTATTGACTCATGTACATGAAAAGTCTTGGAAAAATATTGACTTCGGGCATAACTAGATCCAGGTGTTCAAACATGGCCATAAGGATTCTCCACCTCTCTTTTAATTTGTCTTTCCTCTGTGAGTACCCTTTTCAGGCAGAGAGCAATGCTATATGATATCAAATTAATCTCTAGAAGCCTCAAGTTTCTATTCTACCAGCTCCAGGTAGAAAAAAGAAACAGAAAGAAAGAAAGTTTATTCCCTGCAAAAGTTCTGGCATTGATATTCATTGGACCTAAATATATCACTCACTCGTCTACAGACCAATACTCATGGCCAGGGGAATTAGCTAGATTTGGATCATGCCACTCCCTCCCCTAGAGTCAGATGGTGAGGTTAGCTCTACCCCAAGAAAATGAACAGAACAATGGGGAGCTGTTGTTCCCAGGCTTATTTATTTGTTCGTCTGTCCTTTGCCACTAGAATGTAACCTTCATGAGGGCAAGAACCTTGACTGTCTATCTTATTGCTATATCTCTGGTATCTGCAATAGTACATATCACACAATAGGTGTCCAATAAATATTTAACGAGTGAATGAAAAGGGGAATGAGTGCTGGTCATTTAAAAGTCATAGATGCTCAGTACTGCAGAAAATTTATAACCTCGCAGTAAGAATGAAGATTCTTGTTACAGCTGACAAACCTGTACTTCCTTCCAGGTCACAGAGGCTAAGTCAAAGTGATTTTATATTATTTACTATTTTCTTGGCACCTTTAATATTTATATGTCACATGTAGAAAGTCGACAGAAGAAATCTAAAGAGTCCACAAAACTATATAAGAAGATAAAAACCCAAAGAAGCAAATGGATTATGGATAGAGTATTCTGAAAGCAGGCAGGAAAAACAAGGTGCTTGTATCTTTGTTTAGGGGACTGGGTGTTGGAGACTCTCAGAAATTAGGAATTTAAGCTGAATGATAAAGGATGAGTATATTTTGAGAGAGAAAGAAGAAAGGGAAGACATTCCAAGCAAAGAAAAAGCTTATGTAAGTACACAGCAACTGTTTTTTAAACAATTTAAAACATTTTATTCACATATTTTAAATCTAGAATCTGCAGTCATTTATAGATTGCAAATCACAGCACCATAATTTAGTCCCCACAGGTCATTCATCCTGTGAATAATATCCATAATAATCTAGAAGGTTAACTTTTTAACCTACTTTACTAATTTATTAAGGATGGAGTTTAAACACAGGTTAAAAACAAGATGGGAGACAAGCAAAAAGATTGACCCCAAGCTTAGGGAACAATTATTCTTCTCTCTGCAGTTACATCTGAGCATCTAATAATTATTTCTTCATTTCTTTCACTTTTGAAACACAACCTTCCAGATTTTCCTCCTCCTCCTCATCTTCTTCTTATCACCATCATCACCATAATCACTATTGCCATCATCATCATCATTACTGTCATCATCATCACCATCATCACTATTGTCATCATCATCACTATTGTCATCATCATCATTATTGTCATCATTACTGTCATCATCATCACTATTGTCATCATCATTACTGTCATCATCATCATTGTCATCATCACCATCCCCCTCATCACCATTATCACCACAACCATCATCACTGTCACCATCACTGCCAACACCATCACCACCCTCATCACCGTCATCATCATCACCATCACCATCATCATCATCCTGTAATTCTTCAGTTGATTCTCTTATGTCCTTCGAGAATTCCAAAGTTTCCATACCTCCTAAAAATTCATCTGAAAGTCTATCGATTTAGGGAGGATTCCTTCTTTTGCTACCTTGTAGAATAGTGTCAGTAGGATTGATACCAATTCTTCTTTGAATGTCTTGTAGAATTCAGCTGTAAATCCATCTGGTCCTGAACTATTTTCTTGGTAATTTTTTTATTACCATTTCAATCTTGCTGCTTGTTATTGGTCTGTGCAGGGTATCTCATTCTTCCTGATTTAAGCTGGGTGGGTTTTATCTTTCCAGGAATTTATCCATCTCCTCTGCATAAAGGTATTCATAGTAGCCTTGAATTATTTTTTGTATTTCTGTGGTGTCAGTTGTAATATCCTCTGTTTCATTTGTAATTGAGTTCATTTGGATTTTCTCTCTTCTTGGTTAATCTTGTTAATAGTCTATCAATTTTATTTATCTTTTCAAAGAACCAGCTTTTTGTTTCATTTATCTTTTGTATTTTTTTGTTTCAATTTCATTTAGTTCTGCTCTGATCTTGGTTATTTCCTTTCTTCTGCTGGGTTTGGGTTTGTTCTTGTTTCTCTAGTTCCTTGAGGTGTGACCTTAGATTGTCTGCTGTGCTCTTTCAGACTTCTTGATGTAGACATTTAGGGCTATGAACTTTCCCCTTAGCACTGCCTTTGCTGTATCCCACAGGTTTTTATAGGTTGTGTCACTACTGTCGTTCAGTTCAAATAATTTTTAAATTTCCATCTTGATTTCATTGTTGACCCACTGATAATTCAAGAACAGGTTACTTAATTCCCACATATTTGCATGGTTTCGAAGGTTTCTTTTGGAGTTGATTTCCAGTTTTATTCCACTGTGGTCTGAGAGAGTGATTGATATAATTTCAATTCTCTTAAGTTTATTGAGGCTTGTTTTGTGGCCTATCATATGGTCTATCTTGGAGAAAGTTCCATGCACTGATGAACAGAATGTATATTCTGTGGTTGTTGGGTAGAATGTTCTGTAAATACCTGTTAAGTCCATTTGTTCCAGGGTATAGTTTTTTTTTTTTTTGAGACGGAGTCTCATTCTGTCGCCCAGGCTGGAGTGCAGTGGCGCAATCTTGGCTCACTGCAAGCTCCGCCTCCCGGGTTCATGCCATTCTCCTGCCTCAGCCTCCCAAGTAGCTGGGACTACAGGCGCCTGCCACCATGCCCGGCTAATTTTTTTGTATTTTTAGTAGAGATGGGGTTTCGCCATGTTAGCCAGGATGGTCTTGATCTCCTGACCTTGTGATCCGCCCACCTCGGCCTCCCACGGTGCTGGGATTACAGGCATGAGCCACCACGCCTGGCCTGTTCCAAGGTATAGTTTAAGTCCATTGTTTTTTTGTTGACTTTCTGTCTTGACCTGTCTAGTGCTGTCAGTGGAGTATTGAAGTCCCCCACTATTATTGTGTTGCTGTCTATCTCATTTATTAGGTCTAGTAGTAACTGTTTTATAAATTTGGGAACTCCAGTGTTAGGTGCATATATATTCAGGATTGTGATATTTTCCTGTTGGACAAGGCTTCTTATCATTATATAATGTCCCTCTTTGTCTTTTTAAACTGCTGTTGCTTTAAAGTTTGTTTCATCTGATACAAGAATAACTACTCCCGCTTGCTTTTGGTGTCCATTTGCATGGAATGTCTTTTTCCACCCCTCTACCTTAAGTTTATGTGAGTCCTTATGTGTTAGGTGAGTCTCTTGAAGGCAGCAGATAGTTGGTTGGTGAATTCTTATCCACTCTGTGAGTCTGTATCTTTTAAGTGAAGCATTTAGGCCATTTACATTCAACATTAGTATTGAGATGTGAGGTTCTATTCTATTCATCATGCTATTTGTTGCCTGAATACCTTGTTTTTTTATTGTAATTTTTGTTTTATAAGTTCTGTGAGATTTATGCTTTAAAGAGGTTCTGTTTTGATGTGTTTTCAGGCTTTGTTTCAAGATTTAGAGCTCCTTTTAGCAGTTCTTGTAGTGCTGGTTTGGTCGTAGCAAATTCTCTCACCATTTGTTTGTCTAGAATCAATATTGTGAAAATAACCATATTGCCAAAAGCAATTTACAAATTGAATGCAATTCCCTTCAAAATACCACCATCATTCTTCACACAACTGGAAAATACAATCCTAAAATGTATATGGAACCAAAAAAGTGCCCACATAGCCAAAGCAAGACTAAGCAAAAATAACAAATCTGGAGGCATCACATTACCCTATTTCAAACTATACTATAAGGCGATAGTCACCAAAACAGCATGGTACTGGTATAAAAATAGGCACACAGACCAATTGAACAGAATAGAGAACCCAGAAATAAACCCAAATACTTACAGCCAACTGATCTTTGACAAACCAAAGAAAAACATAAAGTGGGGAAAGGATACCATATTTAACAAATGGTGCTGGGATAACTGGCAAGCCACATGTAGGAGAATGAAACTGGATCTTCATCTCTCATTTTTATACAAAAATCAAGAGAAGATGTATGAATGACTAAATCTAAGACCTGGAACTACAAAAATTCTAGAAGATAACATCAGAAAAACTCTTCTAGACATTGGCTTAGGCAAGGATTTCATGACTAAGAACCCAAAAGCAAATGCAATAAAAACAAAGACAAATAGCTGGGGCTTAATTAAACTAAAGGCTTTTGCACAGCAAGAGAAACAGTAAGCAGAGTAAACAGACAACCCAGAGTGGGAGATAATCTTCACAATCTACACATCTGATAAAGGACTAATATCCAGAATCTATAACAAACTCAAACAAATTAGCAAGAAAAAAACAAACAATCCCATCAAAAAGTGGGCTAAGGACATGAATAGAAAATTCTCAAAGGAAGATATATAGATGGCCAACAAACATATGAAAAAATGCTCAACATCACAAATGATCAGGGAAATGCAAATCAAAACCACAATGTGATACCACCTTACTCCTACAATAATGGCCATAATAAAAAAATAAAAAATAAATAATAGATGTTGGTGTGGAAGTGGTGAACAGGGAATACTTCTACACTGCTGGTGGGAATGTAAATTAGTACAAACACTATGCAAAAAAGTGTGGAGATTCCTTAAAGAACTAAAAGTAGAACTACCATTTGATCCAGCAATCCCACTACTGGATATCTATCCAGAAGAAAATAAGTCATTATATGAAAAAGATACTTGCACGTGCATGTTTATAGCAGCACAATTTGCAATTGCAAAAATGTGGAACCAACCCAAATGATCATCAATCAACGAATGCATAAAGAAAGTGTTGCACATAAATATAATGAAATACTCAGCCATAAGAAGTAATGAATTAATGGCATTCGCAGCAACCTGGATGAGATTGGAGACTACAATTCTAAGTGAAGTAACTCACGAATGGAAAACCAAACATCGTATGTTCTCAATCATAAACAGGAGCTAAGCTACTAGGATGCAAAAGCACAAGAATGACACAGTGGATTCTGGGGACTCAAGGGGAAAGGGTAGGAAGGGGGTGAAGGATAAAAGACTACAAATTGAGTGCAGTGTATACTGCTCGGTTGATGGGTGCACCAAAATCTCACAAATCACCACTAAAGAACTTACTCATGTAACCAAACACCACCTGTTCCCCAATAACCTATGGAAACAAAAAACATTAAAAAATAGAAAGTCTATTGATTTTCATGTCTAACACTGTATATGTTAGACACCAAAACTCCACCACATATTCTATTTGGTCCACTATCAACTCAGCATCATGGCCTGCAGACTATCCTTCTTTTGTGTACTCCTGAGTATACAATTCCAACCCATCAGATTTGTGATAAGCTGATTTATCCTATCTTTAGGAAGATGGGAACAGCAATGGAAGCTCTCACTAGATTTGGGAACAGCTGGCAGTTATGATGGAATTTATGGGCAAAACATGTTGAACAGAGTATTAGAATCTAGACTGTAAAGCGTTATCAATATTGTGCTATAGAGTTTAACTTATATTATAAAATACTCTCTACAAGTTATACAATCCATTGAAACCATCATGCTTTGGAAATTTTTTCAAGTGTAAGCATGGAAGAAATATCTTATTAAAAAAGAAACTGGGAATATTTGTGGAGAAAATAAATGTGGTTCAACAGCAACAGTGGCAACAATTAGGCATGAATTGTGTGCTAGCTGAAGCACTGGATAAGTGAAAATACAAAAGTATAAAGAAAGCAGACAATGACTATTAGCTCTTATTTGTAAAATATTTGCTCTTCTCCTTCTCTTCCTCTTCCTCCTCCTTCTCGTTGCAAACAGAACGTATCGCAGAAGAGAAAGAGACTATTCAAATTCTACAGCTAGGACATCCTGCCTCATGACCGTAGGAAAATTTCTTCGTTTCTTGTCCTTACATTTCCTCCCCATAAAGAGGAAATAAGAATATCGATCTCACCAGATTATTATAAAAATTAAAGGAGCTATTGCATATATCACACTTCTTGTAAATGTATCCCCCAAAATACACATACTGAATAAACTAAGAGTCTCAAAAA